>NC_000009.12:31070606-31222121 GCF_000001405.40 Homo sapiens
AAAGCCATCCTCCTTGCAAACAGGAAAATTCCTACAAATGTGAAGACATAGGAAAAGTTTGTATTGCTTTGTTTTAGCGTGAAGACAAATGACCTAAAAGACTGATATTTGGAGGTGGAGACCATCCTGGCTAACACAGTGAAACCCGTCTCTACTAAAAATACAAAAAAATTAGCCGGGCTTGGTGGCGGGCACCTGTAGTCCCAGCTACTCAGGAAGCTGAGGGAGGAGAATGGCTTGAACCTGGGAGGCGCAGCTTGCAGAGAGCCGAAATTGGGCCACTGCATTCCAGCCTGGGAGACAGAGCGAGGCTCTGCCTCAGAAAAAAAAAAAAAAAAAAGACTGACATTTAACTTTTTTTGCTACATTTTATCTGCCACTTAAAAGAAAACACAGGAGAGTGACATCACCAAAAATAGTGGAATAGGTAACACCAGGGCTTTTTCCATCCACAGAAGCAATTAACAGGCTGGCAAAACCTGGAAAGAATCAACTTTTACAGAATTTTGGAATCACCCAAAACTTAAAACAACCAGGGAATGAGTGGATGAAAAAGGAAAGTGCTCCTTTGTGGTAAGAAAGTGTCATGGGGTTATGGGATCTTTGGGGTGTCGATTTTCTTCCCAGAAAGCTCTGTGGCTGGTGGCACCTTTGCTCGAGTTCTTGTCCTGTGGTCAGGAAGAATGAGGTGCGCAGACAAGTGGAAGGTGAACAAGATGAAGAGGAGCTTTATTGAATGTAACAACAGCTCAGATGAAAACCACAGTGGTTAGCTCCTCTATGTAGGCAGGTCCTCTCATGGAGTGTTCAGTTCTCAGCAGAGAGGAGGCCCTGGAGAGAATGGCTGCTCTCCACAGGCAGGTCACTGGGACGTCCTGCAGGTCTCTGAAGCTCTCGGCAGAGAGGGTAGCTCCTCTCTGCAGCTGGTCATCCTGTCATCTCAGTCCTCTGCCCTCTGCACTGGCTAAGCCTTGGGCTTTTATGGACCTCAGAGGGGAGGAAGTCCCTGCCGATTTTTCTATGGGCGGCGGGGGGCGGGCAAGGGGGCACGGAGGATGCACCTCAAGTCCCTACGCCTGTCCGGGGGACTCGCAACATGGACCCCAGCTTTCAGGCCCTCCCTAGCCTGAAGGAGGGGCCTTACCGGGTACCTGCCTCCTTCTGCCCAGGAATCTGTCTGCCTCCCACTGCCGTTCGTGGCCCCGAGGCTCAGGCCCAACCCCCTCCAAGATTGGAGCAGGCTGCCGGGAAAGCAGGGAGGCCAGGCAGTGGAAGTAGACCGCCACTGAACCTGCATGGGGTCAGGGGTAGTAGGAAGGACTTCCTGGGCCTCCGAGTGTGCAAGCTGCAGAGATGCTTGGGTCCTGCGCCTGGGAGGGCAGCCTCATGTGCACCCGGGGAGCTCCTGCCCCACCAGTTCAGAAGGGGTTGGACTTCTGCTTGTCCCCGGCTCCTGCCTGCTCCGCGGAGCAGGAAGCCTAGGTCTGCAGCTGCTGGTGGGGCTATTCCCAGAACACCCCTGCCACACCCACCCTCCACACCCACGGCATGAGCATGGCAGCCGCTGCCATCAATGGCATTTTGAATTCCTCACTTGCCATCCTTCCCTCCTCATGTTGGTAGTGGACATCAGTATGGCAGCCCAAACTCCTGGAGTAGACTTCTAGCACGAAAGGGAACAACTAAGACTTTTATTCTTACATAAATGTGATTGTCCATTTTCACCTTGTCTAGTCCCCAAGGGACTAGTAAAATGGCTTGTCTGTTTAGCCCATCTCAGAGCAGAGCATTCTCAGGGCTTGGGTGACCTTTGCCAAAAGCATCAAAGACATAAATACGGGCCACAGCAGACTGGAACAAGATATAACAGTTGGGACAAGCAACAGACAGACTTTTCTTGTGACATCCTTCCCTGGGTTTGTATAGGGGTGATACTGGTTTCCTAAAATAAGTTAGCGGGGAATCTCTCTTCCTAATTTTTTTAATAGTTTCAGTAGTATTGGTATCAATTCTTCTTTCTGTCAAATTACCAAAGTCATTTTTTCATGGAATTAGAATAAATACAATCCTAAAATTCATATGGCCACAAAAGAGAACTTCAATAGCCAAGCCAATCCTAAGCAAAAAGAACAAAGCTGTAAGCATCGCATTCCATAACAAATTATACTACAAGCCTATAGTAACAAAAACAGTATGGTACTGGTATTAAAAATAGACACATAGATTAATGGGGCAAAATAGAGAAACCAGAAATACAGCCACAAACCTACAACCAACTGATCTTTGACCAAGTTAGCAAAAATCTAGACTGGTGAAAGGACAGTCTATTCAATAATGATGCTGGAAAAGTTGGATAGTCGTATGCTGAAGAATAAAACTAAACCCATATCTCTTACCATATACAAGAAAAAACTCAAGATGGATTAAATTCTTAAATGTAAGACCCCAAACTTTAAAAAACCTATAAAAATTTAAAGAAACTAAAAGATCTATAAAAATACTAAAAAAAATAAGAAAAACTGTTTAGGATATTTGCTTAGGCAAAGAATTTATGACTAAGACCTCAAAAGCAAATGCAACAAAAACAAAAATAGAAAAGTGTGACAAACTAAAAAGTTTCTGCATAGCAAAAATGAAAATAATTATAAACATACAACCTAACGAATTGGAGAAAATATTTGCAACTATGCATGTGGCAAAGGACTATATCCAGGATATACTAAGAACGCAAACAACCCAACAAGAAAAAAAATCAAATAATGTCATTAAAAAGTGAGCAGAATATAAATGTATCAAAAGAAGACATACAATCAGCCCCACAAACATTTGAGAAAATGCTCAACATCACTATTTATAAAATAAATGCAAATTAAAACACAATGAAATACCATCTTACACCTGCCAGAATGGCTATTACTTAAAAGTCAAAAAACAATAGACGTTGGCAAGGATCTGGAAAAAAGGGAACATTGATACACTACTGGTGGGAGGGAAAATTAGTGCAGCTTCTGTGGAAAACAGTATAGCAATTCCTCAAAGAACTAAAACTAGAACCACCATTCAATCCAGCAAGCCCACTACTGGGTATCTATCCAAAGGACAATAAATCATTATATCAAAGAGACATCTGCACTTATGTGATTATTGCAGCACCATTCACAGTAGTAATTACTGAATCAACCTAAGTGTCCATCGATGGATGGCTGAATAAAAACAATGTAGTGTGTTTGATACCAATATTACTGAAGCCATTATCCCAACTGAAATAACTCAGAAACAGGAAATCAAATATTGCCTGTTATCACTTATAAGTAGGAGATAAACAATGGATACACATAGACATACAGAGGATGACTAATAAACACTGCGTACTCCAAAAGGTGGGAGGTTGGGAGACGGTGAAGTTTGAAAAATTGCCTACTGGGGACAATGTTCACTATTCAGTTGATGAGTACACTAAAAGCCCAGACTTCACTGTTATGCAGTATATCCATATAATAAAACTGCATTTGTACACCTTGAATCTGTTAAAATAAAATTTAAAGATATAAAAAAAGCATGGAAAAAAAAATATATATACACACACACACACATAAACATATATGATGGAATACTACTCAGCCATAAAAAGAAATGAATTAATGGCATTCACAGTAACCTGGATGGAACTGGAGACTATTATTTTAAGTGAAGTAGCTCAGGAATGGAAAACCAAACATCGTATGTTCTCACTACAAGTGGGAGCTAAGCTATGAGGATACAAAGCCACTAGAACAATACAATGGACTATGGGGACTTGGGGGAAAGTGTAGGAGGGAGCTGAGGGATAAATGACTACAAATTGGACTCAGTGTATACTGCTCGGGTGATGGGTGCACCAAAATCTCACAAATCACCACTAAAGAACTTACTCATGTAACCAAATACCACCTGTTCCCCAAAAACCTACAAAAATATATTTTTAAAAAAGAATATACATATATAATATTGGTATTAATGCTTGATGTTAAATCAAATGTTTTTGATTTTTTTAAATATTCATACCAGTTTTACTCATGCATACAATTTCTAAATTAACTAATGTTTTTTAAAAAAATTCTTGAAATAAGAATTCTAATACATGTAGTAAGGTTGAATGACTTGTGTAGTAAAGTAAATCATACTTAAATACAAAAAATAAAAACTAAGTAGCTTTAATTTTGCTCATGTCATGTACTATGCTCTTTTACATATTTCGTTTTGTTATTTTAGATTAAAACTCTGGAATTTAGATATTCAAACTCATAAATAATAAAACTGAAGCTCAGAGAATATAAACTAAGTGTAGAGATGACATTCATACTTAGAATTAACACTTCTAAGCCAGGACTCTCTTCTTTTTAATTCTACATCTTGAATCTGCTCCAAGTATTAAGTAATCATGATTTAAATAATGCATTAATGACAACTTTAAAGGAAATTCAGCATTGCACCTAAATATCAATAAAATTAACCAAATGAGAAAAAGTGTTCAAAGATTTTGTCAAACCCTATTTTCAAAAGGAAACAAGGGTATTTCTTCTCACTTTGATTATAGCATTATCTGCTGGATACTTCATATTTTAAGTATGTCAACATACTTAACATGTCATTATTTATTCCTTAGTAGTGTGAGTGCACCCAAAGTACATAATGTATGTTACCAAGTGGGAAAGGACAAGGCTTAATTACATACACTATGAATGTATTAGGACCTAGACATGTTATCTGATTTTATCTTATTATAATTTTATGAGCTGGGTATTTTAAAACTGTTTAACTGAGAAATATTTATAACCGAGAGATAAAGAAATTATAAATCTGTATGTACAAGTCACAATTTTTATTAAGTGCTCAATCAGTACACACACAAAAATACTGTAAAGCTTGACAATTTTCCTTGCTGTCTCTACCTACACTCCCTCACAGTACAATTTTGGAGCTGTGCTGCATGACAATAGACATTGATTGTCAAGAGTTATCAAGGTGAGGATAAGAACCCGCATGGTACCTAACCTCCATGTCCTGGAAAAAAAAAATACATATTTCCAGTTGCTTCTATGCTAACTTTATAAATAATGTTTGAAAAAATTCTATACATTTTTATGCATAGAATTCTATGCATTTTTATAAATAACATTAAAATAATCGGTTGAAAATAATATGTGAAGGAAGATCGGGAAATGAATATTGTCAGGAGCTCATATTTGGGTGAATGATTTCCTCTCTATAAAAGCATGAAATTGCCCTTATCCCTGTTACTGAACAGCTTTCATGAGGGTAATAAAATCTTCCAAGTCCATTCTACCTGGATTGCTGCTTGTCTTCAATATGTTACACTAAACATCTATAATGATTTGATTAGAAAAAAAGACTTATATGGTAATATATTTTATTTTGGTAATTTTATGGATTAACACATTGAACTAAATCTACATCTGACTTCCTACTACCTACTAGATTTCAAGTTCCTTAAAAATATGATTTTTTTTCGTATTTTTGTTTCATTTCACCAACTAGGTTCTTGTTACATAGAACATACTCAGATAAAAGTTTACTGACCTAAACTATAATTCTGTGGTGAGAAAATAACTTTATATTAAAAATGAATCAATTTTCTTTTAAACTACTTTGATGCTTTAATACTTCATTAGGAGGCTGATTTATAGAGGAGGAATAATTCTGAATACATAGAGGACTAAAAATGACACTGTAATGTCAGATAAACCCTCTTGGCTTTTCCTAAATATAATTCAATTTGTTTCTTGACAAAGAAAAAAATCATTAGAAACATGGGAAATCCAAAAGGTAGTAATAATTTTACAAAGTATAAAGTTTAAATTTAAACATACCTGAAGAATAGCAGAGTCTTATTTGATATGTTTACTTATAACTAAGACAATTTTGTTAGGGGTAAATAGATAGAATATCTGGATACAGGGCTCTGTATACACTTTAATAAATTAGATGTATTTTCTTTCTATGAATTTATTTTGTAGATATGTTGTCTTGCTAGAATGGCTTGTTAGTATTTTAAAATAAATAAATCAAAATTAGTCAGGTAGGATATAACAAATTAATGAGTGAGGTGTTGTTTAAAGATATCTACATCCAGTCTCAATGATATAATAAAGTATTAATGATATAAATAATGATATAAAAAGTATTAAAGGTTTCAGTTCGTATCACATAATAATTGGTAGTTTCTTATATATTATAATTCATGGGAAAATACCAATTTTGCTACAGAAGGCAAATGTTCTTTCTGAGGAAGATAGATTCAATATTTATATACCATTTCATCTTTATACATATAGCTCTTAGGAACTGATGTTTGCCAATAGCCCTTCCTTGCATTTGGTATATTCCTATATAGAATACACAGACACACGCACACACACACAAACACACACACACGTGCTCCTGGTTTCTAGAAATGTTTCATGAAAGAATTTTTTTTTCTGTATACAGAAGCATACAAAACCAAGAAAATTTAGATAAATGTTTTACTTTGTGTTTTAAATATCTTAATCCTAAACATTTTAAAAATTCATTCTGGATTAGATAACTGGGCAAATTTATATGCATTCATTTATTCCAGAAATATTTATCAAGCATTTACCATGTGTGAAGCTCTGTTGTAGAATCTGGAGATATAAAGATGAACAAAAGCAATACCGGTTTTCATAGAATTTACATAGTAATGAGGAAAAAGGGAAAATGATTCATGAAATCAACTAATAGTTAATATCATTTGCACTGGCGATACATGCTAAAGAAAAATAGTGAAGTAAAATCTGACAGTAGCAAATAACAAGGTTTTACACAGAATGATTAGAGGAGGCCTGTCTAAAGAGTTAAAATTTAAAAAGATCTGAAGCATAGGAAGCTACCACATGGGTAGAAACTTTCAAGAAGAATGATTATAACACTACAAACTAAAATAACGAAGACATAGAGGCAACAAATAGTTGGCAGCTTTAAGGGTAACAAGAAGATGAGTGTTAAAGCGAAGTGAGCACAAAAGAGAGAAAAAAAGTTGGATATGAGATTGGCAAGGTAGTCAGATGCTGGATCATGGATATTTCCCCAGGTAATGGTAAGCATCTTATATTTTAAGTAGGGAATAAGATGATTAGATTTTCTTTGAAAATATCTCTGTAAGTAAAGTATGAATAAAAGGCTAAGTGTAAGACTGAAGGTAATTAGAATATTAAAATAGTATATTATGGGAGAATGATGATAGTGACTTGGACTAGGCTTATAGCAGTCATATTTGAGAAATATTTTTCATGCAAAGAAAACATGATTTACTGATGAACTGTATGTGAGGTGGGAAATAAAGAAAAGGAACAAGGGTAATTCTATGAGACATTCAAGTAGAGGTGTTTAAAAGGGAGTTGAATAGATGGATTTGGAGCTCAGTTGAGAAGGGTCCCAAATCTAGAATTTGGCTATATAGTCTTGATATTTAAAATCTCATACTTTGATGAAATCATTGGGTAAATATTACAGATAGAAAAAATAAGAAGATAGGTATTTCCAAGAACACCTCACATCTTTTGAAATAGAAAGTTTAGAAAAAGATACTGAGAAGCAGCTATGAGGTAGGATGAAAACGTGAACAGTGTGATATCCCAGAAGCCAAAAAAAAAAAAAGAGTAAGAGGCAGGTGCTGCTGAAAGGACAATATGACAAAAAATGAGAAATAACTCTTGTGGTTGTCCAGAGGGAGGCCTTTGATGACCTCATTCAGGGTTTAGTGGTCAAAACTGTAATTTCTTTATTACTTGAGTTGAAGAGAGAATTGTGAAGTGTGGGAAGTAGACCCATTAGTAGAGATGCAACTTTAGGTAAGTGAGCATTAGGCAGAGAAGACTTTGAAGGCAAGACAATTTCCAGTTTTGTGATGGGATATGTAGTGCATTGTATTCAGACGCTAATTACCCAACAGATAAAATACTTATAAAGCAGGTAAAACAGAAGAAAATTACAGAGGCAAAGTGCGAATAGAAGAGATGGTCTGAAATCTTGTGCACAGTTGAAAAGGTTGGACTCAGATAGGCATAGGAACTGATATTTCATTGTTAAAAGATTTTCAACAACCCAACACTGTGAAATAGGAGATAATGGTAAGGAAGTGGGATGATTAAAAATTAAGGTTTTAGATGTATTATTTGTGAGGACTGGATTAAGGCTATAAGAGTAGGTGATTGAATAGGAGGGAAAATACATATTTTAAGGTGAGGTGGTCAAAGACAGTGGATAAGAATATGGATAATGGATGGGATATTGAAGTCACCCTCAATGATACCAGGAAGAGTGATAAAGAGGAAGACATGTAGTCATAGAGGGCTGAAAGCTTCAAAAAAGAGGGGCTGTGACTATGAGGTCAGTAAGTAGCGCAACAAAGACGGGCAGCAGATACAGAAATCTGATGTATACATTTTAGGTAGGGTTTTTGAGAGAGAAACCATGACACATATCTTAGAATCAGCACTAAGGAGCAAAGTAGACAACTCCAAGCCCTGAGAGCAAAACATACACTATTGAAGATCACAAGGGAATGAGGCCCCACAGGTAATGATTATTTAAGATCCTCAGTTCTGGAAAAGGAATAGCTAACTAAATTACAAATTAGCATTTCTTCATCTTAAACTGTTATATTCACAAACATTATAATGATATGCCCAAAACAAGTTGGTTAAATAAATCAGTCGATTAAATTCCCTGTCCCTCAGCCGTGTTCCAACTCCTGATCTGCCTTTTTGAAAATATTTGAGAGATGATTGGATGACATCACTTCATAAAATGCTGCAATCTTTTTCTCAATTTTATGTTTTTCTATTAGTTCCTAATCCGATAAAATTGAGGAAACATTAATTACACTATTAATAGTATAGTAACTTGTTTAAAGGATAAAAATGCATTCTAAATTTCTAAACTGAAAAAAATGTTTAAATACAATTAGTGTTGAATTAAAAAATAGATGAGGTTAACCTGCCTTTGGAAAAAGCAACAGCTAATCAGAAAAAGGAAAATCCAAATAAATTAAGTCAAAAGAAAATCTTAACTCTATTTGCCTTATGATGACTACAAATTCGTCATACAGCAGACCATGATGTAACCATAAATCCAAACCAAGATACAGAGAAGAGTAAAACATATATTATATGTCAGTTTCTAATTTAGTCTACACCGTAATCTTCTGATTTAGGTCAAGCATCCTAATTACTTTTCTTTAAGAATAAAACTTGATCTTCTAAAGTCTTAGATGTATAGCTCAAGAAAAATATGAGCTAGACCCTGGGGGCTCAAAAATAAGCATATAGAGCTAAGGGGGTTAAAATAATTCAAAATCAGGTCTAATTAGGCCTCCACAGGCTGCTGATTTCGCTAATATCTGAACGACACCCAGGGAACATTGACTATGTTCTTGCTCCTAGATTGAAGATTTTAAAAATTTGCAAAATGATCCTTATTTTACTCAAAATCATCTCTGCTAAATAATAAATAAAATAGATAATAGAAATGAGCTTCAAGAAATAAATTTACTTGAATTACTGTTTCATTTTCTGTTTTCTCTACTGAATATTAATAAAAATAATTACAAAATTATTTCATGTCCCTTTAATTTGTCTGACTTACATTAACATTTGAAAATCAGATTTCAAATTTTAAAAAATTGAAAAAGGAGAGATATGAGTGCGAGGAGTAGGGTGATTGCTATAGAGTTGTCTAATTTTATTGGAGGATATACACGATTTGCACAGTAGTTTCTCATTAAATATTTGACTTTGTTCAAGAAATAGCACTAAAAGTAGATTTGTACTATGAAATTCATGGTGAAATTGTGATCTTTGGTGGCTTACAAATCTATTTAATATAAAAAACTGAAGCGGTATGAATTGAAGACAAAGAATATGTGATGGCTCAAAATATAAAATGAATGCTACATTGGTCCAATACTCGAGTTCCGATCTGACAAAGGTCTTCACAGATAAGTTATTTTTCAGTCTAATATATATTCAAGCAAACACTACAATAGGTAATGTTTTTAATAACAAAACAACTACTCTAATATTAATTACCACAATTTTAATACCTGTTACCAAAAGCCAGGGGTTCAGTGTGGCACATAACAGCTGATGTATGTATATTTGAATAGTGATTTTCAAACTTTCATAATAAAATGGCCCCTCAACCTTATCATTATTTGTTTGACAATTGAATAATTTTAGTGAGAAGAAATGAGCAGACTTAATAAGCTTAATGGGATGCTATATTAATCAGAAGAAATTATAAAATCCAGCACAGAAGCTTCCATTTTAAAGGTCTATGGAGACATGCAAAAAGAAAAATAAGCAAAGAAACCAAAGAGAAAATGGCAAAATATATGGTATAATTTTTAAATTTTTATCTTCATCTTACCCCAAACTGCTTTAGAGATCACAATATTTTGTCTGAGACAATGCTATTTCAAAATAAATAGGTAAATAAAAAAGTAGATGAAATGGAACAAGTATTTAGAAAAAAATACAAAACAGAAATAATTCACCTATGATCTTTAACAATTTTCAGATAATCAGCAGAAATCAAGACCCAAAACATAGCTATCCTGTCAGGAAAGTCTGTAGATGCAGTTACCAGGCATAAACTACAATGTTTTTTCCGTCTACACCAAAATCCCTGTATATAATCTATAATGCCATGATAATGTTCTCTCCCCATTTTGACTACTTAAAAGTGTTTCATGGATATATTTTGTATGTTATTTATTTACCATCTATTCTTTCTTAGATAATTGTAGGATATTTCTGAGGAATGATAACCTCTTTTTTCCTATAATGGATTGTGAATAAAACATGAATAAAGTAAACTGAAGACATTAATTTATATCCCAGATTTAAAAGTAAATAATATCAAATGAAACTGTGCTAGGATTGCATTTTTAGACACCATTTTCTCTCTCAAAATATTCTCCCTGGGTAATTTGATTCAGTCCATGTGGTCAATTATATTCTTATATTGATGAATGTCAACTCTTTATCATATTTCTCTTCTAAATTTTAGACTCATGTATGTTGGTGGCAACTGAAATGTTTCATTTTATGGGTCCTTCAATTTCAAACCTGTCCAAAATTGAATTGGTCACCTTTCTCTACATACCTGACCATTCTTGATGATTATCTGACTATTTGGAAGGGCCATACCATCTATTTCTCTATTCATTAACCTGGGAGTAATCCTTCATACCTCTTTACCATCACCTTCCAGCCTTTTCAGGAGGCCTTCTATTCTGGATATTATGATGCTTCCATCCACAGAGTTCTTCAGGGCTGAAAGACCTAGTAGCAATAAGTGCTGCCAGTTGTCAGTCATCAGCTGTCATCTCTCTTCAGGGATTGCTCCCAGCTGAAAAGACCTCCCTATGCTTTCTCCCTTTTGCTGTGGGCAGCCTTCATCCAGTGACTACTCCATGTGGGTAGATCCAAAGACTTGGCACTTTGTGTCCAACCCAGGACAACTCTGAATGGCCAACTCAGTTACAGCTAAATCCTTTCCTGATGTGGAACTGCAGCCTAACTTTACTCTCTGCCCAATCCTCCCTCTTTCTCTTACCCCACAAGTGTTAATTATTCTCAATAATGCTTTCTAATTACTTTCCTAAAGCTCCTTGTCATCTTAAAATTGGCTTCTTGGGAAAGTCTATGTGCAATATCTGCCAATTAAATGTCGCAACTAAATTTCAAGTGTATTCAATTCTTCTCCAAATCGACTTCCCTCACCCAAAGATGTTACTTACATTCATTTCTCGTCCAGATCTCTGCTTTCCAACTGAACTTCTCACCCCTCTCTAATCAGTTCTTTCTTCAAACAAAGTGGACCTTAAAAAATTAAGCTAATTATGTAAATTCCATGGATTAAAATGTGGTTTTAGTTTTCCCATGCCTTTGGGATGTCCAGTCTCTCTAACATGGCTTTTCATGATCTGGTCCCTGGTTATATTACATTTCAAGGCTATTTTGAATCATCTCTTTATCTCATAGACCCTACTCATTTTGTCTTAACTACCCTCTTTGCTCCAGAAATTATGAACTTTGTTCACTTCTTTTCTAAAGTATTTTAATGTAGCAACATAATATAATAAAGTGTAAGGATTAGGGACCTTGACCCAGGAGGCTGTCATATTTGGGACTGATACCTAACTATACAACTCAAGCTGCATGACTTCTGCCAAATTATTTACCTCCCTATACCATGCTATCTGCATTTCTAAGATCACAATAAGAAAAATTACTTCAAAGAGTTGTTTAATGATTAGATCTAAATAGAAAGGTTAATTAGAAAGCACAAAGTGAGATATAATGGCTCTGAAAGTGCTTGGCAAACTACCCAGCACAAATTCATTAACCAATGTGGGTAGCTCTCTTCATCATAATCATCATCTTCAAGCATTGACTTCTCCATCTCAGAAAGGCTCAAACCTTTTGATTGCTAGGTTCTCATGTTTGTTACACCTCAGTTTAAGTGCCAATTGGCAATTCTCTGGCAACACTTTCTTAGACTCACTTAGATTAGTTGTATTTAATATGCGGTCACATTTCACATTATATTTTTCTTATGTTAATATTTTAAAACACTAAATACTCTCCATTGGGTCATAAACAATATTTGTTTTAGCTTTGAATATAAGGACCTATTATAGTATCCATTTTATGGTTAACTTATAACAAATAATAATTTCAGTGACTGAATGATTGAAACAATGCATTTTTTTCATAGGTGTTTTCTTCTCAAAGGCTGTTCTGAGATAGAGTCTAATAACGTGTTGAGTGCTTCTAAATAAACACCGTTTAATTATATAATTAATTCTGGAAAACAGATCATAAAACATGTATAATATGGAATAAATTATATTAATTTTAAAATTGCAATGTTATTTTTATATTTAAAATAAAATACAGATTGAAGAAGAACACAGGTACAAAAAAACATATATCTATTCATCTAGACAAGCAGATAAATGCCTTATAATCCATATAACTAGAACTAGTGGTTCTTAGCTAGCCTGGGAGGAATTGCCTGGCCAAAGAATATTTGACAATTTCTGGAGGAAATTTTTGTTTGTCATAACTTTGGGGGAAAGCAGGTGCTACTGGCATCTAGAGAGCAGAGGCTTGGGCTGCTGTTAATAGTTTACCATGCACGAGACAGCCCCCTATATGGAAGAATTATCTGACCCAAAATATCAATAGTACAAAGGCTGAGTAAGTCTGCAGTAGGGTAAGGAAGCCAGCATTTTAAGAAATATAAGATAAAAAATTCAGAATGTCCAGTGTATGTTGTAGGATGACAGGCTTTTTAATGAGATATTTTTAAGAACAGGATGATGGCACTCTTTCTGAGCGGTAAAAGAACATGTGCCTTGAAGTGAGGACAGGGCTTGCTGATCTTGGCAAAGGCATTCCGACATCTAACTTTAAAATTAAATAAATGCAGAAGTTAATTTTTGTTCATGTATGTCAAAAAGAAAAGAGAAAACTGATGTGAATAAAATTATTCAGTTAGAATAGCTGACAAAGCAAATGAGAAAATGAGCTCATGATACTTGGTACATATTACTCTTCTCACAGGACACACGCCATGAAATGTGCTATACGGCCTTAGACTGAAGGATTAAAGCAAACTGTTTCCACCATATCATTTGGGAGAAAGTTCTGCAAAGTAATAGAATTGCACAACGATTTTCTCAGTAGAGTAATTATAAAGGAAATTTAAACATGTAAAGAAGTGGGCTAGTTTTATTTTTTAAAAAGCTCTTTAATAAAACTGGCTATAACCAGATTGAACAAATGCCTGTGTAGGTGGGCAGCTGACATGAAATTCTGTATTAGGTAACAGAAGCACTGTTTCAAAACTGGAATCTTTGCCCACTCAGCCTAATGAATTATTCACATGTAACTCCTTTCCTATCATTGACAGCTAAAACGGCTTAGCTAAGTTCAGTTGAAATGGAGAGTTAAAGAAAATGTACAGCCACATGCAAACTGGGCTCAGCTAGATTTTCACTATCAAAGCGAAGTAAAAATGTGAGGCAATTATAAGAAATTTCCGTGTGTGTGTGTGTGTGTGTGTGTGTGTTTGTGTGTATATATATACTGTGAACCTTGTATTTATTACCAAATTATCATATATATATAAATATATATATCTTCAGTTTTCAAGTTACTTCATGTGTCTGAATATTTGTTTCCTAAAATACAAAATATGTATATTAATATTTTCTATGATTATTCATAGATTTTGGGTTAAAATGTACAGAAACTCAATGCTATCTAATGATTTAGATGCTCAATAAAAGTTAAAACATATTTATAGTACCTACTAGAGCAGTTTCAAAACTTAAAGGCTGGAACTTAAGTTTATTTGTTGTACTCAAACTATCATCATAATTTTGTAAATGATAACTGGCGTTCCATGCTCAATCAGGAGAAAAACGTAAATGCTTATTTTAGACAATAGGAAATGGATAATTTCCAGTGAGAGTGAGATACATAGAGGTTTGTTATCAGACGCTGCAGCAGAAGTTGACTTTTTTTTTTAACATTTCTGAAACACCTGAAGTCTGTGGTATGTGTCTAAAATTAATCCCTGTCAATGAAAAAAAAATAAGGTCATTATATTAATTTTTCTTTAGAAGATTTTAACTGAGAAAGGTAATTTAAATTTGGGAAAACAACTAGAATCAATATATTGCAGAGCCTCTGCCACAGGAAGTTTTTCACATTCTCATGAAGTCTAGTTAAGTGTACCATAGAACTTTAGTGTTGTTTTTCTATGGTCTCCCCACCCTAATTCTCTTCTTTACTTGACCTTCCCTTGTTCTGACTATCACACGCCACCACATTTACTAAACATCATCACCGCTAAAACTGGTCAATTGTGTTACTTTCACCGAATCCTGTGGTTCCTGAAATAGACAGATACTTCTGCTTGTTGCAATTACTGCTTCTCCTTGATCCTGTTCATCCAAATAAGTCTCACTATTTATGCTCAGTAATATTACTTCCTTAAGCAAAACTCTCTGACTCAGGTCCTTCTGCCAACCAGCTTTCTTGGTACCCTGCTGCTTGCACTTAACTTCTGCCAATGATCCCCTGCAAAATCTGCAGTCCTGTGGCTCTGTTGTGTACTCTGGTGAAGTGGAAGAAATAGCTTCGTCTTTCCCTACCACTGTTTTAAATGTGTTTTACTTCCTACCAGGGAGTAATGGTAGAACTGCCAAATACACAAAAGTAATGAAACTCCATTTCCTTTATTTACAAAATAAATCCTTCCCACCCTAGTACTTCTCAAGCCATAGAAATGGATTTATTAGGACTTAAATAAGAGGCAAAGCAGTGTCAGATGTTAAGTGATTTTCCTGAAGTTTACAACATAAGCTGTGTCACCCAGTTTACATGATAGCATGTGACACACACATAAAGCCAAAGCATGCATCTGTTGCCTGCACATCAGGGACCATTTACCAGGTAGGGCCTTACTGCTGATTTGCTCTTTTCAGAAATGAATCATATGGGTCTTCTAATTTTAGAAAAATGCCGTACTTAAAAAAGCCTTTCATTTTAAGTTCAGGGGTATATGTACAGGTTTGTTACATAGGTAAACTTGAGTCATGGGGGTTTGTTGTGCAGATTATTTTATCACCCAGGTATAAATCTCATTAGTTATTTTTCCTCATTCTCTCTTCTCACCCTTCACCCCCCAATAGGCCTCATTGTGTGTTGTTCCCCTCTATGTTTCCATGTGGTCTCATCATTTAGCTCCCACTTATAAGTGAGAACATGCAGTATTTGGTTTTCTGTTCCTGTGTTAGTTTGCTAAAGATAATGGCCTCCAGCTCCATCCATGACCCTCTAGTTCGTTTTGATGACTGCATAGTATTCCATGATGTACATGTACCACATTTTCTTTATCCAGTCTATCATCGATGGCCATTTAGCTTGATTCTATGTCATTGCTATTGTGAATAGTGCTGCAATGAACATATGCCTTCATATGTCTTTATAACAGAATGATTTATATTCCTTTGTGTATATACCCAGTAAAGGGATTGCTGGGTCAAATGATATTTCTGTCTTTAGGTCTTTCAGGAATCATCACACTGTCCTTTACGATGGTTGAACCTAATTTACATTCCCACCAACGGTGTGGGAGTATTCCTTTTTCTCTGCAACCTTACCTGCATCTTTTTTTTTTTTTACTTTTTAATAATAGCCATTCTGACTGGTGTGAGATGGTATCTTGTAGTTTTGATTTGCGTTGCTCTAATGATCAGTGATGTTGAGCTTTTTAAACATATAATTGTTGGCTACATGTATGTCTCCTTTTGAGAAACATCTGTTCATGTTCTTAGCCCACTTTGTAATGGGATTTTTTTTTTTTTTGTAAATTTGCTTAAGATCCTTATAGATGCTGGATATTAGACCTTTGTCAGATGCATAGTTTGCAAAAATTTTTTCCCATTCTGTAGCTTGTCTGTGTATTCTGTTGCTAGTTTCTTTTGTTGTGCAGATGCTCTTGAGTTTAATTAGATCCATTTGTCATCTTTTGCTTTTGTTGCAATAGGCATCTTCATGATGAAATCTTTGCTTATGCCTATGTCCGGAATAGTACTGCCTAGGTTGTCTTCCAGGGTTTTTTATACTTTGGGGTTTTATATTTAAGTCTTTAATCCATCCTGAGTTAATTTTTGTATATGGTATAAGAAAGATATCCAGTTTCACTCTTCTGCATATGGCTAGCCTGTTATCCCAGCACCATTTATTGAATGGGGAATCCTCTCCCCATTGCTTGTTTTTGTCAGATTTGTTGAAGACCAGATAGTTGTAGGTGTGCAGTCTTATTTCTGGGTTCTCTATTCTGTTCTGTTGGTCTATATGTCTGTTGTACCAGTACCATGCTGTTTTGGTTACTATAGCACTGTAGTATAACTTGAAGCTGGGTAGCATGATGTCTCCAGCTTTGTTCTTTTTGGTTGGGATTGCCTTGGCTATTCGGACCCTCTTTTTTGTTCCATATGAACTTTTAAATAGTTTTTTCTTGTCCTGTGAAGAATGTCAATGGTAGCTTAATGGGAATAGAATTGAATATACAAATTGCTTTGGGCAGTATGGCCATTTTAATGATATTAATTCTTCCTACCTATCAGCATGGAATATTTTTCCATTTTTTTGTGTCATCTCTGATTTCTTTGTGCAGTGGTTTGTAGTTCTCATTGTAGAGGTCTTTCATCTCTGTATTTAGCTGTATTCCTAGGGAAAAATACTGTACTTGCTTTATTCAAACATTGCTGGAGCTGAAATAAAGAAAGACAACAGGATGTTGTTACCATGACTCTGAAGCTTTCAATATGCAAACGAAAAAGTATGCTAAACTTACTTTCTGGGCTAGTTCTGGTGACTGAATCCCTTTTATTTCTACCAGCTCCAGGGAGGACACACAACCAGAAAAAGCCTGTGTAGGCATATCCTGATGTCCATTCTCTGTCACTCTATTAATATATTATCAGTGGGAGGAATGATTCAATTAGACACCTAAGATTTTTAAATTTAACACATTAGCTTTTAAGGATCCGGGGATTTAGGCAGAGTCTCAAAGGTAGGTGGTCTTCACAATTTCATTGTCCTACTAAAATTCTTATGTCTCTTCCAGGAGTGGAGTTTAATTACTGAGTCAAGTCTTGTTAACTGACTTTTTTCCTCTAGGATGTTTTTTTCCCAGTTTTTTTTTAGGATGTTTTTATTTTTAAGTTAAATACCAGTCTCTGAGACCTATTAAAGCTGGAATCTTCTTTGGTTACTATGCTCATTAAACTAAAGATACATATTTGTTCTAGTGCAATTGATGCTTCTCTAATTTCCTAATAGAAAAGAAAAAGGAATAAAAGCCACAAGTAAATTTGATTCAGAGCTTTCCCAATTGACCAGAAGATGGAATTCTTCAGCATGACTTCTTATCTCTTTAGCAAACCAAGTTAGGGAGGAAGATCAGAGATGACCTGAAATATCAATTCAATTGGGAAATGTGATGGAGGACTATAATTGTGGTGAGATTAACTGTATTTTCAAATATAAAAAATGAAATTGCAGTATATCATATACTATTCTTACTTAAATTTGATAGCAACCTAGTGAAACTTATGAATTTTTAAAATGAATTTAATTGGCTCATTTCACATTAGGAAGTCAATGCTTGTTAAATTATTTAAAAAAGACATATAATGATTGGGTCAAATTCTATTATGAAAATGTCTTTACAGTGAAATATTCACTGCAATGAGTACATTTTCAATGCACAAGTTAATAAACTATAAGGCTTTGGAGGGTCCTTAAAATAATAATATCAAGAAACTGGTAATTCAGTATGACAAATAATTTTAAACAGACTGCTAGAAATTATTATCGTGTCTCCTTTTCATTCTTTTCTTTGTTAACCTTTATTTAAATACAAAAGTGCTATGTGGGAAACAGACTTTAAGTGTGACACTCGTACCTTTAAGGAAAATTACACTAATCATATTCTCTTACTGACCAATTAACTAAATCATCTTTTCTAATAGTAACACAATGAGCTCATCACCTCCTTAATGTCTTGGGAACAAAATACATAGCTAAAATTTTTTTTTCCAAAGAAAGAGATATCAGCCTGAGCCCTGATATAGCTCGGTATGTCTCTGATGCTCTATAAATAAGCTTTGGAAAGAAAAAATATGACTTTGAGATATAAAGTATACAAAAAGCTAAATCATCTTGATATCGATATATAACTTTGAAATGGTATATTTTACATATATGTATATGTATTTGAAATTTTCAATGAAAATAATTTCTAACTTTGGTTAAATTTTAAAGTATTCATCTATTCAGAAACAGCTTGAGAAAAATCATCTCAATTAATTATTTCTGAGTGGGGAAATGGCCATGAAAATTTTGATCAAATATTAGGGAGATATTGAGAGGTTGCAAGCAACATTACATTTGATCAACACAGCATGGAAAATAGATGCATGGACAGTATTGCATAGATGAATAGTCCCTCTGCACTCAGGACAGTGGTGATCTGATAAGTGACTGAGTCTTTCCTGAATGAAAATAAGCTTTCTATAAATTTTAATTTCTAACAAAGCTAAGTAACTAAAAATTTCATCTCCCTAAAAGACTATATTTAGTGGTTTCTCTTACCAGAAATGTAACAAAAAAATAATAATAATAAATGCCTGAGTCACTCACCAGATAGGATTGAGTGAGCATGGCTATGTCAGCCCCCAAAAGCCATCACTTTGTGGCTGATGACTCATGAAAACATGTCTAGCTAATGAAAACATGACTAGCTTCCATTCTCTGCTGCAGCTAACAATCCTGGTTACTTTTTACCTAATAAATAATTCCTAAGATATGGTACTATTGCAGGCATCAGTACACAGTTGTTAGCTAGATTCTCATTTATCTTGAGGTCCATGTACTCTCATATTTTTTTTGAGATAGGATTGCAAGGAGGAACCACCAAGTTATTAACTCACTAGCCAAGATAAGAGATGGAGACAGATCTTAAAATGGTCACATTGCCTTCTTTACCACAACCATCTGCATCATCTTCAAGCTAGAGAGAGCACTGGCCTTACCAAGGAGAAGCTGGCCATTTCTGCATTCTCAGAAAGTTCAGGGGAATCTGGAGACTAAAGATTTTCAGTTGTATAAATACAGATGGCCTGATTTCATGTGCGGGGTCTCTTTCTTTCCTAATCACAGTGCTGCCCTGATCATTGCAGACCTGTCTAGATAGAGAATAAAAAATTTGTAGAGCTCTCTCTACACTTATGGTTAAGTTCTGAACCCAACTCTCAATTTTTTCCTGACTTCTAGGTTTGAGGCATCTCTGATCTACTTATATGCCCCCCAAAATGTTCACTGGCTTTGACACCAACCTTTTAATTTATGGTTTATCATTCTCCACCTTTCCTTGTCTCTCTTCACAGCATCAATTTCCCCTTTCAGCAGCCACTCCTTTCATTTTTCTTCCAAAGTGGCTGTACTCTTTTGCATTCTTACCAGCAGTGAATGATCATTTCTGTTGATCCGCATCTTCTTTATTAATTGACATTGTCACATTAAAAATAATTGTCAATCTGACATATGTACGGTTTGTCTTAGCAGAAGGGTCACAAGAAAAAAGAAGAAATATGTACATATAGATTTCTGTTGAAGAACAACTGTGAAATATGCACTACAGAAGTTGGTACAACAAGGTTGGACATTAATATTATGACCCAAATAATTACACTAAATTTGTGGAAATGTTAGTAACGTTAATGTCATTAAATATTCCAATTTATAGTATCTCTTCCTCCTCTTTTAATTCACATATTCTTTTTTCCTCAAAATGCCCTTCTTTTTCTATAGAATGATAAAAAATGGTATATAACATCCATTGCAATAACTTTAAATTCTTCCTTATTACCTCTGGTGATATTTTATGACAGATTCCTTACTTTTTGCCTCATTATTGTAGATTTATTTTTCTGCAAACATATCAGTAGGAATAATACAGTCTTGAATTCTAAAAAACTCTTCTGTTTACCATATATCCTCACAAGCTTCTTTGGTTTGATTTTATTATTAAGCATTAAATTCAAAATTACCAAAGATTACCTGCTACATAGAAGATTGAAAAGAAGAGTTCCCAATAAGATGCAGGAAAGAAAAATGTTTAAAATATTTGTAATGGGGTTAAATATTATTTTAAGAGTTGTGTTAAAAAAAAAGCATATGTCTTAAATAACCAGATTAAAAGACCAGTAGTTATTACTCCAAAATATATTGAACTGTCAAAGTACCCATGATGTACTTAGAAATGATTCAAAATGTGTACTTGGAACTAACCTGAAATAAAAATAAAATTCACCTATTATTATGTAGTGTTTTGCTCAGTAATTTGAAGAATCTCATCCTGAAAGAATAACAGAGACTTAGTTTAACAAGGGGTATGGGGATAGTCAAGAAATGTGTCAATTTATTATTAAGCATAAAAATAAAGGAAGAATAACTAATGTTAAATGAGTGATTTATGATGATATGGAAATACATTATTATAATGTAGTATCTTTGTTGTGGCTTATGTAAAAGTTAAACTATGACTTTGAAAATAAATTCCAAAAATTGCTAATGAATCACTAGCATTAATTAGTATGTAGTCACATGTAGTTTAATGTTTTTATAGTGAAAACCAAAGGAAAAATTGAAAATATTTTATAAAAGCATTTCATTGAATTTTAGTTTATTCAACATTAAATACTGCTAGGAAATTGAGGCTTGATTTTATGTTAAAATGCATTAACACAAAATATTATTTTATAAAAATATAAAAGTATTGAGCATATTTTTTATATTATGTTTAACATCAATTTAATTTTTTTTAACTTTCAAGTTCAGGGGTACAAGCGTAGGTTTGTTGTGTAGGTAAACTTGTGTCATGAAGGTTTGTCGAAAAGATTATTTCATCACCTAGGTATTAAGCCTAGTACCATTAGTTATTTTGCCTAATGTCTCCCTCCTTCTACCCTCCATTCTCTGAAAGATCTTAGTGTGTATTGTTCCCCTCTATGTGTACATGTGTTCTCATCATTTAGCTCCCACTTATAAGTGAGAATATGTGGTATTTGGTTTGGTGTTGCTGTGTTAGTTTGCTAAGGATCATGGCCTCCAGCTCCATCCATGTCCCTGCAAATGAGATCATGTCCTTTGCATGGATAGAGTATGTGCATGGATGGAGCATTCCATGGTGTATATGTAGTAGTATTCCATGGTTTATATGTACCACATTTTCTTTATTCAGTCTATCTTTTCAAATGAAGATATACATACCACCAACAATCATATGAAAAGAAGTTCAACATCACTGAATTACAGAAATCCAAATCAAAACCATGATGAGACACCATCTCACACCAGTCAGAATGGCCATTATTAAAAAGTCAAAAAATAACAGATGCTGGCAAGGTTGTGGAGTAAAAGGAATGCCTATCCACTGTTAGTGGGAATGTAAATTAGTTCAACCATTGCAGAAGACAGTGTGGCAATTCCTTAAAGACCTAACGACAGAAATGTCATTTGACCCAACAATCCCATTATCGGGTATATACCCAAAGGGATATAAATCATTCTATTATAAAGACACATGCCTGTGTATGTTCATTGAGCACTATTCACAATAGCAAAGATCTATAATCAACCTAAATGCCCACCAATGATAGACTGGATAAAGAAATGTGGTACATATACACCATGGAATACTATGTAGTCATAAAACAAGAACTAGATCATGTTCTTTGCAACGACATGGATGTAGCCGGAGGCCATTATTCTTAGCACAGTAACACAGGATCAGAAAACCAATTTAATTTTTTTAAAAGAGCATAATAGTACTGAGTAGTTTTAGAAATGTGAAAGAGAGACATCTGCTTCAAAGAAATTGAGTAGATATGCTTTTCTCTATTCTTCCCACTAACAATATCTAAAACTCCCTTGATATTATATATAAAACTGAAATAAGAAGAAGAACACTAGCTAGGGACCTCAGAACCCAAGGAACAACACAATGGTGAGTCTCCTGGGAATTCTTGGTTCGAATATCTCAGACATGTTGCTGAAGAAGACAGTAACCTGGAAACAACAAAGAGAACAGACAGAAAAGTCACAACAAAAGACCAAGGAAAAAGCAGTGTAGAAAGACAGAAATGTTTTAGACAATAGCCTATCTAGTCTAGCCAAACATTACAAATAAAATTGTGGCCCCCAACCCAACCATGCCAGCAAAAGCAGAAAGGGAATCCTACAATTCTGCAAATGCCAGATTTTATTCAGGCATCACAACCTAAACCTTCTCCAGTGAGGTGATATCATAGAAGGGTAAGCAGGGAGTCAGAACATACATTTGGTAGGTTAGAAGTAACATGCTCCACTGTACCTGTGGTGTCTGTGAAGCCTGCGTGGGGAGCCTGCACTTTCAGCCCCAACTGCTATTGATGAGGCACACACTCTTATTCTGCTGAGGTGGTGCCAGAGGAGGCCTAGAGAAAAGTAGGGACTCTCAGAAATACCCAGCAGTAAGGAGTCTACCCCTCACTACATAGTGTCAGGGGGAAGCCTGGTAGGGAGTAATAAATGAGCACTCCTCCACTTCCCACAGTGTGGATTCTTGTAGGGAGCTGAAAGTCTCACTCTCACCCAGCAATAATGACGATCTCCTTTCTCCCTCTGGTATCAAAGGAAGCCAAGTGAGGAACCTGAACTTTAATTCCGCATACAGTAGTAACAAGGCAGTGGCCAAGTTACACTACCGAAGAGGTGTCAGAGGAAGCCAGCTAAAACAGAAAGTTTTAAAAGAATCCAGTGTCTGATAAAAACATGGATACCCAGGTTTAATTCCATAAACACTTAACATATAAAAAATAGAATAATCTCAGCAGGAATGAGAAAAAGACAGCAGATTCCAAAACTGAGATGACAAAGGTGTTAGAATTATCTGGCAGAGATTTTAAAGTGGTAACCATTAAATACTTCACTGAAAAATTTTAAACATGCTTGAAACAAATTAAAAAAAAAGCTCAGCAAAGAATTGAAAAGTCTCAGCAAATATAGAAAACGTATAATGAACAACCAAAGAGAGATTTTTAAATGAATGAGGCAAACACTGAATTGGCAGATTAAACAATGTACATCACCCAATCTCAACAACAGAGAAAAAGTAACCTGATAAAAAGGGCAATAAAAAGATTCACAGAGACTTGTGGGACCATAACAAACCGTCTAACTTTACTGCCACTGAAGTCCTGGGGAAAGAATAGGAGAAAGAAGATGTAGTCGATAATTACTAAAAATAAAAGATGGTTTAAAACATCTTAAATTTAGCTATATGTATACATATACACACACACACACACACACACACATCAACAAATTTTAAATGATGAGCTAACCCAATAAAATAAACCCAAAGAAATAAATGCCAAGACATATCACAGTCAAACTTTTAGAACTTAAAGACACAGGAAAATTTTTGAAAGCAATGAGAGGGAAAGGATTTTTTACTTACAGAAGGAAAACAATTTGAATGACAAGGTATTTCTCATCAGAAATCCAGGAGGCCAGAGAAAGTGGCACAGCATTTTATAGTGTTGAAAGCAAAGAACTGTCAAATCAAACCTGATATACAGTGACAATATCCTTCAGGAATGATGGGGAAATAAGACATTCTCAAGTGAAGGAAAACTGAGAAATTTATCACCAGCAGATTTTTCCTGAAAGAAGGGCTAAAAAAAAGTTCTCTGGACTAAAAGGAAATACAAAATATTTAATCTTGGAGCATCAGAAAGGAAGTAAAATATGAAAATAACAATTTATGGGTAAATTATGTTAAATTTCCCTTCTCCCCTTGTTTTCTAAACAAAGTTTGAATATTTGAGTAAAATTACAACACTATTTAATGTGATTCTAAATGTATAAGATAACATATTTAAGATGATTATATTACAAAGAATTATATTATGAAGGATAAAATTAGGTTAAGGGACTTAAAGTTTATATGTGTCACTAAACCTGGTAAAATGTATATGACAGTAGATTGGAATAAATTATAAATATATATTATCCAGAGCAACCACTAAAGAACTATATAAAGAAATAGATACTGGCCAGGCACGGTGGCTCATGCCTATAATCCCAGCACTGTGGGAGGTCAAAGTGGGAGGGTGGCTTTGAGACTACCTTGGGCAATATAGTAAGACCCCATCTCAAGAAGAAAAAGATGAAAGAAAAAGGAAGAAATAAAAAAAGGAAGGAAGGAAGGAGAAAGACAGAAGGAAACAAAGACAGAAAGAAAGACAGAAAGAAGGAAAGAAAGAAAGAAGAAGAAATACATATTGATTATTAGAGAAATGCAAATCAAAACCATGAGACACCATCTCACACCAGTCCGAATGTCTGTTACTTAAAAGTCAAAAAATGACAGATGCTGGTAAGGTTGTGGAGAAAAGGGAACACTTACACAATGTTGGTGGGAGTATAAATTAGTTCAAACATTGTGGAAAGCAGTATGGTGGCTCCCCAGAGAGCTAAAAGCAGAACTACCATTTGACCCAGCAGTTCTATTACTGGGTATACACCCAGAGGAAAATAAATCATTCTACCATAAAGACACATGCAGGCATATGTTCAATGCAGCACTGTTCAAAATAACAAAGACATGGAATCAACCCATAATAAATGCTTATCAGTGACATACTGGATTTAAAAAATGTAGTACATATACATCATGGAAAACTATGCTGCCATAAAAATAACAAGATCATGTATTTTGTAGTAACATGGATAGAATTGGAGGCTATTATCCTTAGCAAACTAACACAGAAACAGAAAACCAAATAAGTGGGAGCTAAATGGTGAGAGCTTATGAACACAAAGAAGGAAACGACAGACACTGAGGTCTACTTGAAGATGGAGCATAGGAGGAGAGAAAGCAGCAGAAAAGAGAACTATTTGGTATTGGGCTTAATTCCTGGGTGATGAAATAATCTGAACAACAAATCCCTGTGACATGTGCTTACCTACATAACAAATCTTCACAGGTACCTCCAAACCTAAACTAAAAGTTAAAAAGATAAGAAAAAAGAAACTATAGATAAAAATGAAAAAAGAATTTTTTAAAAATAGTACTCCACAGGAAAGTAGAAAAGAAGAAACCAAAGAAAGCAAAACAGAAAGCAAACAACCAACAACAAGAATTAAATAAAATGGCATACTTATTACCTAACATGTCAATAATTACATCAAATATAAAACTGACCTGAGGGCTGGGCAACAAGAGCAAAACTCCATCTCAAAAAAAAAAAAATGACCTGAACTGAAGAGATCATGACTATGTAGAAAAATCACAACAAATCTAAAAAGAAAAATACTCCTAGAATTAATTATTCAGTTCAGCTAAGTAGAAGATAAAGTTTCAAAATAAATTCTATTTACTTACACTAGTATTAAACAGATGGACAACAAAAATAAAACATAATATTATTTACAATCACTGAAGAAAAAAGAAATATTAAATGTATATCTAAAATTCATGGACAGGACTTAAGTTCTTGAAAGTACAAAATGTTGATAAATGACATTAAATAATATAAAATGAATGTAGAGATATACTGTGTTCATAGATGAGAAGATTCAACATGGTAGAGTTGTCAATTCTCTACAAATAGACAATTCATTTGCTATCAAAATGTGAATGAGAACTTTTTTACTTATTTTGTATGTATAGAAAACTTTAAAATACATATGGATATGTATTAACTAGAATATCTGAAAAATTTTGAAAAAGGAGAATAAAATGTAACCTTATTTCAAGACTTACGCAGTTGCAGTAATCATGAATTTGTGGAATTCGTAGAAAAAAAGGCAAATAGGTGCAAAGCCAATTCAGTGGAGGAAAAAATAGCATTTTCAGCAATGACGCTAGAGCAACTGGACAATCACAGGTGAAAAAAATATACCTTCACATAAGCATAACACCTTCTACCAAAATGAACTCACGATAGATCATGCACTTAACTGTAAGACATAAAAGTTTTATTTAAAAAGCCATAGGGAAAATTCTTCAGGATTTCAGACTAGGCAATCGTTTCACAGACTTGACATCAAAGGCAAGCTCTATTAAATGAAAAAAATATAAATTGGACTTCATCAAAGTTACAGATGTTTGTTCTATGAAATATTCTGTTGAGAATAAACCTAAACACTTGGAGAAAATATCTGTAAACTACACGTCTTAAATAGAAGTGGCATCTAGAATATATAAAGAATTCTGCAAATACACCCATAAAAAAAAAAAAGCCAATTAGAAATTTGACAAAAGGTGTTTCCCAGAAAGACAATATCTTGATGGCAAATAGCCCATAGAAAATATGTCCAAAATTATTAGCCATTAGGAAAATACAAATTAAAATATATAACAAAATATTACCTCACACCTACCAAAATGGCTAAAATTTAAATAGTAACAAAACCAAATGCTGACAATGATATAGGGAAACTAGATCACCCATGCATTGCTGGTAGAAATAAAAATGATCCAGACACTCTGGAAAATAGCATAGTGTTTACCTAAAAAATAAATTTATGCTTACTATATGATACATCCATTGTACTTCTGCTCATTTATCCTAGAGAGATGAAAATTTACACAAAAACTTGTACATGAATGTTTATAGCAGCTTTATTTGTTAGTCAGTAACTAGAAACAACTTTGTGTCCAACAATGGATGAATGGTTAAACAAACTGGCACATCCATGCTGTGAAATATGTATTAGTCTCTTTTCACACTACTAATAAAGACATACCCGAGACTGGGTCATTTATAAAGGAGAGAAGTTTAATTGACTCACAGGCCCACATGGCTGGGGAGGCCTCACAATTATGGTGGAAGGCGAATGAGGAGCAAAGTCAGGTCTTAACATGACAGCAGGCAAGAGAGCTTGTGCAGGGGAGCTCCCGTTATAAGACCATTAGATTTCATGAGACTTATTCACTACCGTGGGAACAGTATGGGTGAAACATCCCCCATGATTTAATTATCTCCACCTGGCCCCACCCCGACACATGGGGATTATTACAATGCAAGGTGAGACTTGGGTGGGGACACAGCCAAATCATATCAGAATACTGCTGAACACTAAAATGAATAATGATACAGAAAGCAACTTAGATACATTCCCCAGAAAATTATGCTAAGTGGCAAACATCAATCTCAAAAGATAACATACCATAACTTCAATTTATACCATTTTGAAATGACAAAAATTAAAGACATAAGTAATATATTAACGATTGGAATTAGTGAGTTAAGAGGGAACTGAGTGTGGCTATCAAAGGGAAACACGAGTGATGTTCTGATCAAGGAATTATAATGTACCAGTGTTAATATTCTGGTTGTGATACTATATCATAAATGTGCAAAACTATATTATACCAGAGTTTCTAGAGAAACTGGGTAAATGGTACAAGGAATCTCTTCCTATTATTTCTTACAAATTTATGTTAATTTAAATTATCTCTAAATAAAAAGTTTAGTGTAAAAAATACAAAATAGAAGCAAATATGTCCATGATATTAAGCAAGTATACACATGCACAGATTGAAAAACAATGTCTATTTGACTAGATTTTACTTTTCATTTTATTTTGTTAAATATTATTTATTATTTATTTGTTTGTTGTTTGTTTGTTTTGAGACAAGGTCTCATTCTGTCACCCAAGCTGGAGTGCAGTGGTGCCATCATGGCTTACTGCATGCTCAACCTGCTGGGCTTACTCCATCCTCTTGCTTCAGCCTCCCAAGCAGCTGGGACTACAGGCTTTTGCCACTGCACCCAGAAGAGTTTTGTATTTTTTGCAGAGACAGAGTTTCGCCATGTTGCCCAGGCTGGTCTCGAATTCCTGGGCTCAAGTGGTACACCAGCCTCAGCCTCCTAATGTGCTGGGATTATAGGTGTGAGCCACTGTACCTGGCAATATTTGAATGGATTTTTATGAATCCTGAATTTCCTAAGTAATTGATTTTATTTATTATAGCTATTGCTTAGAGATTTACTTCTCCCAGTACTTTTGGGCATATATTAAGTATGCCACAAATACCATAGTGGTTAAAGTATAAAAATAATTATTAGAAATTATCATAACCATTACATTAGCTGTGAGCGAACATGAAAATTGAAACTAATAGCCCGACATCAACATATATACCAAATTGAATATATAGAGCACTTCTTGCATCAGCTTTTTCTTAAACCCCATTGAAAACATCATCACCAGGGTGTCAGAATGCATATGTGTCTCTGTTACTGATGATAGCCCCTCAGTTCTGTGTTTGGGTGGCTCTTCATAGTCTTAGCTTTTGGTAACCTTTCAGTTCCTCACTTTCCATATATCTTCACTTAAGTTTACTCATATTATCACCACCTTATTCTTCCACAAACCCTCATTGTATTGTTTTATTGTTGGTGGTGGTATTAGATTTTTTGCTTGTTTTGTTTCTTCCCCGCCCTATGGCCTTGCATGAAGTCTTCTCTCTGTTAGTTCAATCACCCATTCACATGTCACATTACTCTGTCCTGTTGTAATCCCTTTAACTGAAGTTACAAAACTGTTAATCCCCTACTGCAGCTATGTATATAAATACCGAAAATGTGGACATAAACTTTATATAGACAGTGACATACATATAACATGACCTTAGGCTTCAGATGGCTAATTTTGAAATAATAATAAATTAACTCTTTTTTTCTAATTCCCTTCCCCTTAACACACACTTAGTTAACAGTGGATTGTCCCATAGTTTTTAACTATTTAGCAGTATACTCAAAAAATTCAAGCTGATTTTGTAGCTGGGGATGTTATGCAGTTATTTACTTTTAAATATTTATTTATATGAAAGTACTTTTGAACTCTAAGTACTATACAGTCAAACATACAATTTTTCATCTTATTTTCATTCTGCTTTAATCACCGTTGTAAAGCTTCGATGAGAAACAAAAAAGAAACACACAGAGCACAAATTGTAATTTCAACAAATAATATTATTATATCTGTGGCTTCATTTAGAGCTATATAACTTGCATGAGAGATTTTATGAATACATAATAGATTTATTTTTCCTTTTAATAATGACACATAGATGTTCTTGAAACAAAAATTCATTCATTATTTTATAGAGAGCTGAAAGAAGTAACTGTTACAAAGGAGTAGAGAAGGCTTTTCTTCTTCAGTCTTAGTACAGAGGCTTTTAATCTTAGTCTCTTGTGATAGGTTTACCAGAATGATGAATCAGTAGTAGAGTGTTCGTTAATCTCCCAATTCATTTGAGCTGATTTTGTGTGTTGACTGAAGTAAGGAAACAATTGAGTGAAATTGGTTAGTCCTCAGAGCAGCAATTTCAGTAATACCCAAAGCAGAGCCTGTAGGATGGTAGGTCCTAACTTAATGGAACAACAACAGCATCAACAAATTCAAACAGAAAACAAGCCCAGTGATACTCTCAGAAACATACAAATTAAAATTATGTTGTCTTTTTAACTGTGATATAAAGCATCAAACAGATGGAATGAATTCTAAATTCAAATGGAGAGTTGATATATATTTATCAAAAGTTAATCCAATTATTCTTTTACCTATTGTGATTTTTTGACTGGAATTTATAAAAATTGGGGAAGTGAAACAGAGAATTGGGAAAGTGAGAACAGAACTTTTTAAAAATGTATTTCTAGGCATGTTAATAAATTGAAATGAATTCCAACATGATGAATCATGTTTTTTTAACAACAAAATTGTAAAAACTGTGTGCAATTCTACATCTAAAAAGTTTCCATTTATCTTGACTTCTTCAAATAAGAAGTGCTTTATATTCTACTTCATTTCTAATTCATCTGTTAACTGAGAGTCTATGTTTTATCTTTGTTTTCTTTACTAATCCATGTTTTAAAGTCAGCCTGTCTAAACCTATCTGTTCACCAAATCACCAGAGAACTTTGTCAAAAATGCAGACTTCCATATGTTTGTTGGCCACATAAGTGTCTTCTTTTGAAAAGTGTCTGTTCATATCCTTCACCCATCTTTTGATGGGGTTGTTTGGTTTTTTCTTGTAAATTTGTTTAAGTCCCTTGTAGATTTTGGATGTTAGCCCTTGTCAGATGGATAGATGGCAAAAATTTTCTCCCATTCTATTGGTTGCCTGTTCACTCTGATAATAGTTTCTTTTCCAGTGCAGAAGGTCTTTAGTTTAATTAGATGTCATTTGTCAATTTTCGCTTTTTTTGCAGTTGCTTTTGGTGTTTTAGTCATGCAGTCTTTGCCCATGCCTATGTCCTGAATGGTATTGCCGAGGTTTTCTTCTGGGGTTTTTATGGTTTTAGGTCCTATGTTTAAATCTTTAATCCATCTTGAGTTAATTTTTATATAAGAGGTAAGGAAGGGGTCCAGTTTCAGTTTTCTGCATATGACTAGCCAGTTTTCCGACACCATTTATTATATAGGGAGTCATTTCCCCATTACTTGTGAAATACCGTCTCATGCCAGTTAGAATGGGGATCATTAAAAAGTCAGGAAACAACGGTTGCTGGAGAGGATGTGGGGAACGCTTTACACTGTTGGTGGGAGTGTAAATTAGTTCAACCATTGTGGAAGACAGTGTGGCAATTCCTCAAGGATCTAGAACTAGCAATACCGTTTGACCCAGCAATCCTATTACTGGGTATATACCCAAAGGATCATAAATCATTCTGTAAAGACACATGCACATGTATGTTTATTGCAGCACTATTCACAATAGCAAAGACTTGGAGCCAACCCAAGTGCCTATCAATGTTAGACTGGATAAAAAAAATGTGGCACATATACACCATGGAATGCTATGCAGCCATAAAATAGAATGAGTTCATGTCCTTTGCAGGGACATGGATGAAGCTGGAAACCGTCATTCTCAGCAAACTAACACAGAAACAGAAAACCAAACACTCATAAGTGGGAACTGAACAATGAGAACATATGGGCACAGGGAGGGGAACATCACACATGGGGGCCTGTTCAGGGATCGAGGGTAAGGGGAGGGATAGCATTAGAAGAAGGATCTAATGTAGATGACGAGTTGATGAGTGCAGCAAACCACCATGGCACATGTTACCTATGTAACAAAACTGCACGTTCTGCACATTTATCCCAGGACTTAAAGTATAATAATAATAATAATAAAATAAAATAAAAGTAAGAAAAAAATGCAGACTCCAAAACTCACAAAACTTCCTGAAATCAAAATCATGGGGATGGAAAATGGAACTTTGATTTTAAAAAAGGCATCTTTTCAATTTACAAAGAAAAAAATGTGGAATTACAGATTGAAGGCTAAATTTTGTATGGGAGATATTTCTGTTTACTGTTGTTCTGTTTGAGAAAAGAAGACATGGAAGGGAAGGTGCACACAGCTCGAATTCGACTTCCCAGTGTTCATGGAAACTGGTTATTATACCCCATAATGTGGAAAAAAGTTAAGTGTGTGGTAGTAGAAGTTCTCTTTTCCTGAAAAGAGTTCCTTTCTACTGTCATGTCTTGAGGAATTTCTTTGAAAAGTGCCCTGATACTTCTGAGGTGGAAGTCCTCATTTTTATTTAGTCACCAATGTGTGGATCAGAATTTGATAAGCATTAAGTGCAGATATATTCCCTGTATTTGAGTTATCCGGGTATTTAGTGTTACCTTTGACTTCAGGGCAGAGGGCTTATGATTATTTTCTTCACAATAGAGAACTTTTGTATAAATTTAGCCTTGAGTAGCTTCTCCTCCACTGTAAAGTCTCAGTACGTACTATCTAGTTTCCATAGGTACACACACAACCATTCTCATTTAAGCACCTGTCTACTTCTGGGAACTCAATATTATTCAGTTATGCACCATCAATAGAAATTACAAACTTTGATCTACCTTGTCTATCTCCAAAGAATCCATCCAATACCCAAATTCACTTCCTGTTAAAAAGTACACCCCTACACATCTCTGTAATCCTTAAAAATTACAAGGTCTGTGCTCTTCTACCTGTTGGACAATCTAATTTATACCCTTTGATAGACCTCAAACTTCAAATGCCCAAATATTTTATCTGGGTTATATCCTCTGTCACCACTACTCCTTCCCCCAACACACACAACTTGTCAAATTCTTCTCACTCTAAACACAGACACATTCACGTGCATACATAGCCGAACACACACACATACACACAGAAATGCTTTTCTGTGCATACCTTATGCAGTTGAGTATGAGGAAGAAAACTTTAAGTGAAAAAGGATATGTATTCATTTCTTTGTTTTAAATCTGCAGTGAAAAATTCACACCTCCACATACATGTGTATACTCATAAACAAATTTTCCATAATATTGTTCATTATACTCATATATTCTAATGGCATGTTTTATAAAAATTGAGAACTGGAACTTTAGGGCATGCTTATCAAACCTCCACAGTAGTGAAAATAAAATAAATATGACACAGTATTTCACAGTAGTGAAAATAACTTTACAGTGTACATCTTTCCACATTCTGTCAACACAAACTTCTGCCCTCACACTCCCTCCCACCCAGACAAGTCACACATTTGTATTCCTTCACTCCTCCAATTCAGTACTTATTCCAACTGCCTCTCTGTTAGTTGTTAACTTATTTCCTGCTAGGAAGAAAATAGATTACTAGCTGTTAACATTCCAGAATATTTGCATTTTGCATACAGGCACTTTGAGGATATCTGTGGTTTTGGATGGAAGCCAAGTCAGACAACTTCTTAGACAAAACTTGACCCAGCTGCTTCTTATAGCAGTTGCCTCTTTGGACATGAATATGCTGAGTTGTGTGTGTATCTGCCCCTTAATTAGCACCCTCTCTTAATACAAAAAGATATTCACTTCTCCTAAACAAAAAGATGTCACCTCTATGCTCATTTAATTGTGAATCTGCCACATGTTGAACTTTGGCCATAATCTGATACATATGCGGGCCACCGTTAGAGCTACCAGGTGTGTAATGAACACACATTCTGGTACTGACATTAGTAGTGGCATTGATCGTGACCAAGCAGTTGGAGCATGTTACTTATATTGACTCTCCTTGGTAAGTAACTGGAAAAATCCAACTCAAACTGCCCTACACACACACACACACACACAAATATTTACTGAAATGACAGATTTTTATGTGTATCTAAGCTTCAGATTTGGGTTATTCTAATTTATAAAATTAGGACTTTGTTTTATTCTATTTCAGTCATTTTAGCTCATGGCTTTAGTCTAGGATTCTATGTGATGATTTTTTTGCAACTATAGACTATAGTGAATATTCCAACGAGTTCACTTTCCCCCAAAAGATAATAAGCTTCTCTTTTAAAAGATCCAGCTAAAATCGAGGTAGTTCTTCTTGTCATTGAATAGGTCATAATGCTCATATCTGAATCCAATCCCTAGTGCTGGAGAAAATAATTTTTGTTTGTTTGTTTCATTAAGCCCATAGCTCTTGTCTTTTCCTGGAGTTTGGAAGCAGAATTAACTGTACATGAAATTTATGATTTAAAATTAGAGGATTATGTGGTGACCAGAGAAGAATTTCTATGCTGTTTACTGGGGGAAGATTTCTTTAATATTGACGATCAAAGTTAATAGATACCCATTGCATCCAAAGTGGCAAATTGGTATCCATGCTAGCACTAGCCCAAACCCATCTATGGAAGACATCTCTGTCAGTTCTGGACCCTTTGCTATTGCACTCACAATTTGTCTCATAATTTTCCTTAAGGACTCTCCAGTACACAACTAGCAGTTCATCAGAGCAAACATATGACACCTTTAATTAGGTTGTTTATGATGGTATCTTTGGATAAAATTCTTCATTTGTGTCATTAACTCATGATTAATCTCCACCCACAAATGTACCTAAATAAATCTTGAGTATTTGCTATTACACCTGCCTTTGCATCTTTAATCTAAGATCAAATTTTTAGTTAAATAATAGAAGTATTTGGATGTTTAGGAGAAAAACATCAGAAAGATGTAGCCAAACATGGAACTTTAGTTTTGATTTCCAATAATATGTGGCTAATCGTAAGATCACAAAGTTGATGTATATTTAGCTGTGCATACAAAGGAAAAAAATCGCCTCAAATGATAGAAAATGATATATGGATAATATTTGAGTGCCTGCATAGCTCTTAAAACTGTATAAAGACTTGTATAATCATGCACATTCTTATAATTTAACTTAGTGTCTTTAGCATGTTAATATGTCTTCCACTGACTTAGAAATACCTATTTGAAACTTCAAATTTCTTTTTTTTTTGAGACAGAGTCATGCTCTGTCATCCAGGCTGGAATGCAATGATGCGATCTCCGCTCACTGCAACCTCCCGGGTTCAAGCGATTCTCCTGCCTCAGCCTCCCAAGTAGCTGAGATTACAGATGCCCACCACCACGCCCAGCTATTTTTGTATTTTTAGCAGAGACGAGGTTTCACCATGTTGGTCAGGCTGGTCTCGAACTCCTGAGCTCAGGTGATCCACCCTCACCTTGGCCTCCCAAAGTGCTGGGATTTATAGGTGTGAGCCACAGCGCCCAGCCTGAAACTTAAAATTTCTATACCATATGTCTACTCCAACACCTAAAAGAATAGCAGGAGAAGTTAAGCATGCATCTCCACTGCCATTTAAACTTTTATTATTTCATTATGCATCATATTTTTCTCTAAAATTATGAAAATTCATTTATTAGAATTAACACTAAATAAAATGCAAATTAAACCATTATAATATTAGTAATGAAAGGTTCATAAAATGCCTGGCTCCCTTTATGAGATTTAATTTTTTTCAATTTTTTTTCTATATATAGAGGAGCTGGAGAGAGAGAGTGCAAGAGAAAAACTTAACACCTAGGTTTCTTAAATAAATCCAAAAATGACATATGAAGATGGCATTAATGTTATAAAAGGTGACAAGAATCATTTGATGGTAGTGTTTGATATTTTATTGCTACTACTAACAGCTATAAATACATTGCAAAGCTCTGATAAAATGTTGCAACTTGCCTTTGAAGGTTATAGTTTTTTTTTTTCTGTGTATTATTATAGTGGGGCTTGTTAACATCACCTAATTAGTTGATCATGCTTATCTATAAACAGTATCAAGTACCTGTACAATATCATTTTTAATCACCTATTATTTTCAAGATCACAACCCACAGTTATTACAGGAAAAATGAATAGTTTAATATTAAATATTATAATGATAGAAAACAGTATTTTAGGCTGGGTGCAATGGCTCATGCCTGTAATCCCAGCACTTTGAGAGGCCGAGGTGGGTGGATCACAAAGTCAAGAGTTCCAGACCAGCCTTGCCAATATGGTGAAACCCCATTTCTACTAAACGTACAAAAATTAGCCAGGTGTGGTGGTGCACGCCTGTAATCCCAGCTACTTGGGAGGCTGAGGCAGGAGAATCATGTGAACATGGGAGGCAGAGGTTGCAGCAGTGAGCTGAGATTATGCCACTGCACTCCAGCCTGGATGACAGAGTGAAACTCTATCTCAAAAAAAAGAAAAAGAAAACTGTTTTATTTTCTTGAGGCAGGTAGCAATTATTCTTTTTAATTGTTTTGTCAAAAGTAATAAATATCCAAAATAACGAATAGATGAAATAGATGAAGGATTTGAATTATTGTGTACAAATACCAGCTCTTCTCTGATGTCCTCTCAGGCAGATTCAATAGCTCTGACATCATGTGGCTATAGGAATTTATGCAGGCAACAATTTATAACACTAAACGGGTTGTATGGCAAATATATACGCTTATACATGTATTCACCCAATATTTTGAGTTTCCTATTGGTTCAGAGACCCTTTTTTCTTTTTCTGTATTTTCAGTACTATTTAGCACATAACATTTTCTATCTATATATGAAATAAAAACAAAAAGTAAGGTGTTTATCACACATTTGACAATAAATACAATGAAAAACAATAAAACTCTAAATCAAGCTGACCACTATTTGCAGTTAGAATTAACCCTCAGATACCTAAATTTTGGTAAACACCATCATGATCTCAGTTCTGCAGGCATAAATGTTTAGTATTAGTTTTCACTGTATCACCCTTCTTACCCATTCTCCATGTGTCACTAAATTCTTCTGTACTTTCCTCTATGATGTTTGTCAAATTTGGTCTTTCCATCCTCCCGATTTTATTTTTAGGCTTCCTAATTTAATATCAATTCTACCATATTAGGCTGGCTTAATCCTAATGTCATCTAACATCTATTTTATCCTATATCACTATTATTAAATATTTCACTAATCATCCATTTTACATATGTGTATTTATTTTAAAAATGTAAACATGTACTAATCAACTAGTTTGTAACACACAATCTAAATAAAAGGAAATAATCAAAGTATGAGAAGAAAATAAATTTAAATAAATTTATTTCTCCATTAATGAATTTTAATACACACTGTATGGGAATGTAAAGTATTTTATGAGATAACTGATTTAAGTGATTGATTGCTTTTTTTTAATTTCTCCCAGTCTCCTGTGCACTCAGCACTCCAAAATTTTCTTAAAATACTGCTTTCTGATCAGAAATGTATAATGGTTAAGCTCAATTTAGATTATTCTCTGTGGAGATTTAAACATTTCTCTATTTAGGTTCTTCTTTGCGAATACAAATTTATTTCTTGTTTCATGCTCCTTACCAGCACACACATATTACTTCTCTGTGTTAGTCAGCAGCTCTTTTTATTTTATTTCTCAATTGCTTTGCTCATTTTCTCCATTGTGCTTTTGCCTACATTGTCTCCACTGCCCATATCACAATACTCACACCATTCCTACCCAATCCTACATCATATCCCCTTCTTCTGATCCAGTTTTTCTCATTCTCAAAGCCTAAAGCAGTTTCTCAGAAATGTTTTCCTTAACATGTTAACAGAATTTAATTATGCTTTAAAAATAAGGGTACCTTAAGGATCTATCCCATCACAGAAGGAGATATCTTGATCATATTTTCCATAAAAAATATCTTGATCATAGTCAAAGTATAGTCAGAATACATTGACTATGGTCATAGGCCTCCCAAGCATTAAGCATACCCAGTTTAACCTACAAGCAGCAGGTGGTGATCATGTCAAGGTAGGTTTATATCTGTTATAACTAGTTACTAAATCAATGAACCTACACACTGTAGGTCCTTTGTTAATGCTTATTCTTACAGATGATAATTAATCTTCTTGGATCTATCCTTGTTTGCAACTTGATAACAACTCTAGTGGGGTGTTAAGCACTCTCAAAGTAGTATAGGCATTCTCAGTAATATGGTAATGCCAGTCACATTTCTTACTGTGAAATAAATGAACAAAGAAAATCACTGGGTGTCTGTCCAATTATTTCTACATTCTAATGCTTTGTAGGAACGCTATCTCTTCTGAATTACTCTTAGAAGCTTTTTGCAATCTGAGGAATCCGACCATTTGTTTTTGTGGTATTTGTGACAAATATTACATTAGCCAAAATCTTGTTCTGTATACAAATGGCACCTTATAGCAAAAGCAAACTTTCTGGTATTAAAACATAATAATCTTATTCTGGAATTTAATGAGTAATTTTATTTGGAATTGGAACAGATGGGTAAAAACAGAGCAAGCAGATTCTTCTGGCTGATTGTTACATGTAACAAGGTAAAATTTTCTTCATTTCTCTGAATATTCTTTTAGTGATGAATGTCATGCCAATTGGCATAAAATTCCAGTTTTTATTTTTGAAGCTGTGGTGTTAATGTAATCATTAGTTAGGCTGCTTTCAAAAACTTAAAAACAATAATATAATTCTAGACATTTCTAAATAATTATGTTAAATAATTCCTTATGCTAATCTCATCAATCTTCTTACTCAAGTGTCAAGACAGAAAGATCTGTGAGGCTGTTCTAAAACTTTTGGGAAACCTTCCAGGCTCTTAGCCTTGGAGTAATGCTCCTATGCACACTAGCTCAAAATAAGCATCCCTCCAGTATACCCCTGATGTCTCATGCCTTGACTATCCTTTGTTCAGCCTCTTTGATGTAAATTATCAGTGGTTTCTAGTCAGAATATCAGTCTTTGCCTTGTCACTGGACACTCTAGTTTTTTCTTAGAAAAATGTATTTACAGTCATATGCCACACAATGATGTTGTGATCAGTGATGGACCGTACATACTAAAATGGAGCTGAAACATTCCCATTGTCTAATGACAATGTGGCTGTCATAAAATCATTGCACAGTTACTATATTTTTCATAAATTTAGTGTAGGCTAGTGTCCAGTGTTTATAAAGTCTACTGTAGTGTGTAGTAATAACCTAGGCCTTCACATTCACTCACTGCTCCCTCACTGACACCCAGAACAACTTCCAGTCCTGCAAGCTCCATTCATGGGAAGTGCCCGGTATAGTTGTACCATTTTTTATCTTTAATATCCTATTTTTTTAATTTAATACCATATTTTTAGTATTCCCTTTTTATGTTTTGATATGTATAGATACACAAATATATACTATTGTGTTACAATTGCCTATAGCATCCAGTACAGTAACATGCTGCATAGGTGTGTGTGTAGCCTAGGAGCAATAGGCTGTACCATATAGCCTAGATGTGTAGTGGGCTATGCCATCTAGGTTTGTGTAAGTACACACTGTGATACGGCACAATAATTAAATCACCTAATGATGAATTTCTCAGAATGTGCCTTTGTTAAGCCATGCGCACAACCATATTTGATTTTACAATTTCTTCTTTAGCCAATGTCAAAAAAATACTCTATCTAGATCGTCTTCTTGAATTTTTGCTCAGCAAAGAGATCTTTCAGTCTTTGTCCAGGATTGGTGTTGGGGCTTTAATTCAGAGGGTTTTCTAGTAGGCTAAAATGAAGTTAATAATGAACACAATATTTAAACTTTCTGTTATTTTTCTTTATTTTAGTACTAGCTTTTCAACATTATAAACAAAACTTGTGAATGTTTTATATTAGTAGATTATAAGTTCTGTTTGATGATACTACAGCCCAGTTGTCTTCAAAGTGTGACTTGGAACCCTATCAAGGGGTCAATGAAATTAGTGCCATTTTCATAATTATACTAAAATATTATTTTTTGTTTTTACTATCACTCTTTCACTATAGAGCAAAATTCCCCAAGAACTACATAACATATATTACTGCAATAGATTGAATACAGAAGAGGAAATGATAATTGAATAAAATAAAGTTATATTTTAAAAAGGCCACTCTGTTTACCATTTTTAGTGTGAAAATATATTTTATAAAATTGTTTATTTTGTTAAAATGAATGAGTTTATCTTTGTCATACAAAGTTAACAATTAAATATATATGTATTTAATTTTCCAGTTTTAATATTGACTATAATAAATAACAAATATATCACATACAAGCCAAAGATCTTGGGCTCTCAATAATTTTTAAGACTCTAAAACTGTTCTTAGAAGAAAATTTGAGCACTACTACTCTTGTATACAATTTAAATTGCATCACTAATTGATAAATACTTCTAATAAGTAACAGTTTTTCCTTGCAACTGAAATGAGAAGCAGAGTGACTAAGTTCCAAAAACTGATTAGTGTTCAGGTTGTCAATGTAACCCAGCAATATAAATTCTGATTGAGCTTTTCTCCAGCAAATTACAATGGGTTAGTAACAGGGTATAAATTATAGCTTAATAAAGAAACAGTGGTATGTAAACTTAGGCTAATTATGTAAACATGGAAAATTCATTTGCAAATTAGTGATAAAGATGAATTAGAATTAATAAATACTCTTCAGTATCATCTAAATTAACACATGAAGTTATACTTCATGACTGTTTCTTTAAGAAATAACTAGCCCTAGAATTCTTAAATCTAGGACTATGCATGGGCACATAGGAAAATCCATTCTACTTTGCACTAAAGACAGTGCATACTTTCTTATGGAGCCTCTTCATTCAGGTAACTCATACTTCTTTTCAAATTAGGTGTATTTGGAGCACAGCAGAATGACTACTTACAACTCAATATAGGCAAATTTCACTTATCTAATTTGTCAGCACCTTCACAAAGTAGTCAATAAATCAGCCCCTTTTGAATCTGTTAGTCTGATATTTCCTGACAGTCTCATTCTGAAGCTTAGTTCCTGGACATTTAGAAACCTAGGCCAGCGTAACATGCCAGCCCTAAATATTGTCATTATCATGCTAGGAAAAGCATCTTGCAAAGAGAAAATCAAATTTCTGGATGTGGGAAAATGAAGCTATTCACAAAGAAAATACATGTGTCTTGGAGAAAGGGAGGGGATTATTTTTATATAGAATTAAAGCACTCATAAGTAGAAACAAAAAGCTCTCATCTTTTAATTTTCCACAGCAGGATCTGTCTGTCATTTCACGTAGGTTGCTTCTCATACAAATAATACGGTAGACATGCTGTGAAAGGTTTGCATGGGTCATCTATTTTTGTAAAAATCCTCAGTTTCTCAGTAAGAAAAAAATATGATTGTGAAATTTTTTTAAGTTAAAATGCATATGTATTACATGGCTACCATTAAATATGATTAATGTAGAAGGGAATATGAATGCAGTAATAGGAATTGGTTAAAAAGGCCAACTATTTTTGTGGTATTGCTGAAAACTAAACCTTAAACGATTTTTTAAAATACAGTTCAGGAAGGACTTCACTGAGCCCAGAGCTTGGTGTTTTAGATTGAATGTATATTTTGGAATTGGAATGTTTGAATTGAAAATCTCAGGTCAGCAATGTTTACAAGTGGGGCAACTATCACAAATTACTTACTATGGATATTTTCCATCCTCCTTCCTTCCTTCTTTCCTTCCTACTCCTTACCCTCTTCTCTTTCTTTTATTGGTACAATGGGATTACAACATTGAATCACTTGGGTATTGAATATGTTCATTATTCATAAATGCCAGCATCATTTTCTTTTTTTGTCTTCCTACCTGTCTTCCTTCTGGCCTTCCTCCATTCATTTTTTCCTCTAATTATGTAAGGTCGCGCTATTTTAGTCTTCTTACCCTCATTTTCTTGATTTGCTAAAATCAAAATACTAACACTTACCTTAAAGAAATGCTGTGATTATCATACTGGCTAAATACATTTGTGCTTCCTATCTTCCTGTCAACAGTCTTATGTGCCTGGGAAAAGTGTCAATGCTGACAGAGTTGGGTGCAATGAATAAGATTACAGTCTTCTAAGCCACCTTTGTTCACTAGGGGCTTATTGAGCTGATCCTTTCCCCTCTTAATAGCCTATTTGCTTGATTTACTTAGCCCTTTCCAACTCAATTCCAAAACACTTAACCTTTGAAAAAGATGAGGCCAAAATAAAATCTGGAATAAGAATTTCTATTTTTTGCCCAGCTAAACATCTGTTTCCCATTAGTTACTGAAGTCTATGATTTTAAAGCAGTTGCTTGATATCATTCTCTAAATTATCACAAATTTCAACTTATCATGGTTTGCATTAATATTCTGCTATAGATATTATACTTATGTCCAAGGCAAAAATCATCATAAAGATGCAATAAATGTATTTTGCAAAATGGGATTATTATGGATAAGAAGTCCTTTGATTAGTACTTTGTTTTTGAAAAATATCTAGATTAAGTTGTTTCTTCACATTATTTGATTTTTGTGTGTGTGAAGAATTTTCAAAATTAATCTCTGATTTTATGAGTATACAGGTGGCAATCAAATGGGAACAGCAATTTCCACCCTTATGTCCTGGATGCTGCTCTGCTTGCTGGTGTTAGGATCATTACCAACCTCTCGAAGTGCCATCATTATATCTCTTTCTACTGACTATGCCAGCAGCAATCTGTGCAAGCAGTAAAGCTCAGAATACTCACCCTCATTTTCAGGCTCCATGGAAACCTGAAGAGAGTGGGATCCCTTTACTGAGCACAGGTGCCCTCTTTGGCCCCTTCTATTTAATTGAATGTTATCTACCTACTTGTATATAATAGGGGATGAAATTAGAAATGTAACAACACCTGGAAATGTTTTATTGAGTATATATTTATTTGTAAATTCTTTATCAACATCTGTAAAAGAGCTCATTTAAACGATTTTTTGTTTTAAATCTAATATGGGTTAAAATGACAAAATGATAATGTCGTGTATTTCCATTTTAATTATTTTTTGCCACAGTGATTCAAGGTATCCCTCATGCTGTATGAATTCAATTCTAACAAATATTCTAATTTCATCCCTAATATCTTTTGTCAGGAACTAAATCTAATAGTCACTCCTTACTTTTATGAGGCATAATCTTTATTCTTTATACTGTTTTAAATCTCAGATAATAAATATGATTAAATATATAAAAGCCCTATGCTTTCTCTATTTATCCATAATTCTCCTCCTTACTTCTAAAGGTTGTGTTTCTGTAGAGTTTCTATCTAATACAATTATGATAATGGTTCTATCGTTTAAAGGAAGAAAGAAACATCAAATAAAAAAGAAATCAAAGACATAACATTTAAAATGGAAGATGTTAATCTGTCCTCACTAACATAAAATATGTATTCATATTCACACACACACAAACACACACACAGACACACACACACAACTACTGGAACAAATATATGAGAGTACCAAAGTTGCAGGACACAAGGCTAACACATTAAAATAAGTTATCATTTAAATACTAGCAATTAACAATTTGAAATCCCCAAATCACGTAAAAAATAATGAAACATTTAGAAACAAACTTAACAAAAGGAGTGCAAGACTTGGCACTGAAAACTACAAAATATTGCTGAGAAAAATTAAAGATGATTTAAATTAATGGAGGGACATTCTATATTCACAGATGGGAAAATTCAATATTGTTAACAGTTCTTCCTAATTGATTACTATATTCAGCACATTATTTATTAAAAACCAAAGCAGGTTTTGCTTGTTGTTCTGGTTGTTATTTAGATTGGCACACTGAATTAAAAATGTATGTGAATTAATTAAAATAGCAATGAGACACCAATAACACCTATTAGAATGGCCAAAACCTAAAACACTGAAAACATCAAATGCTGATGAGAATTTTGAGCAACAGACATTCTCATTCATTTTTGGTAGAAACGCAAAATCATATAGCCACTTTGGAAGACAGTTTGGCATTTTCTTCCAAAAGTAAACATATTCTACCATACAAGCTGGCAATTTCACACCTTGTCATTTACCCAAATGAGTTAAAAATTTATGTTCACAAAAATCCTGAACATGGATATTTATAACACTTTATTCCTAATTGCCAAAACTTGGGAGCAACCAAGTTCTTTCAGCAGGAGAATGGCTAAATGAGCTGGTACACATCCAGGCAATAGAATATTATTCAGTGCTAAAATGAAATGAGCTACCAAGCCATGAAAAGACATAGAGGAAACTTAAATGCATATTAATAAGTGAAAGAAGTTGATCTGAAAATATGCATATGGTATGATTCCAACTATATGACATTCTAGAAAAGAGAAAATGATTAAGAGAGCAAAAAGATCCAGAGGTTAGGAGGAGAGAGGGATAAGTAAGCAGAGCAAAGAGAATTTTTAGGCTATCAAGAATATTCTATATGATACTATGTTGGTAGATACATATAAATTTACCCCAAACTTCTAGAATATACAACACCCAAGAATTAACCCTAACCTAGAGATATTAGATGATAATGATGTTATCAATACAGTTTCATCAATTGTAAACACTGTACCACTCTGGTGGGAAATATTGATAATGGGGAAGGGCTATGTATGTTGGGGGGCAGTGGCTATATGGGAAATCACTTTACCTTCATTGCTCAAGTTTGCTGTGAACCTAAAACTGGTCTAAAGGTAAAGTCTATTTTTTTTTGAGGTCTCTATTCTGTTCCATTGGTCTAATTAGAGCAAACAGGCAACCTAGAGAATGGGAGAAAATTTTTGCAATCTACCCTTCTGACAAAGGTCTAATATCCAGAATTTACAAGAAATTTAAGCAAATTTACAAGAAAAAACAAATAACCCCATCAAAAAGTGGGCAAAGGACATGAACAGACATTTCTCAAAAGAAGACATTTACGTGGCCAACAAACATATGAAAAAAAGCTCAACATCACTGATCATTAGAAAAATTAAAATCAAAATCACAGTAAGATACCATCTCACACCAGCCAGAATGGCAATTATTAAAAAGTCAAGAAACAACAGATACTGACGAGGATATGGAGAAATAGAATGCCTTATACACTGTTGGTGGGAATATAAATTAGTTTAACCATTCTGGAAGACAGTGTGGCAATTCCTCAAGGATCTAGCACCAGAAACACCATTCAACCCAGCAATACCATTTGACCCAGCAATCCCATTACTGGGTATATACCCAAAGGAATATAAATCATTCTATTATAAAGATATATGCACATGTATCTTTATTGCAGCACTATTCACAATAGCAAAGATATGGAACCAACCCAAATGCCCATCAATGATAGACTAGATGAAGAAAATGTGGTACACATACACGATGGAATACTATGCAGCTATAAAAAGGAATGAGATCATGTCCTTTGCAGGGACGTAGATGAGCCTGGAAGCTATCATCCTCAGCAAACTAACACAGGAACAGAAAACCAAGCACCGCATGTTCTCACTCATAAGTGGGAGGTGAACAATGAGAACACATGGACACAGGGAGAAGAAAAACACACATTGGGACCTGTCTAGGGGAGTTAGGGGAGGAAGAGCATCAGGACAAATAGCTAATGCACGTAGGGCTGAATACCTAGGTGATGGCTTGATAGGTGCAGCCAACCACTATGGCACATGTTTACCTATGTAACAAACCTACACATTCTGCACATGTATCCAAGAACTCAAATTTTTTTTTAAAAGGGAGAAATGAGGTATATACCTAAGAACACAGATGTATATGTGAATTTTCATAGCAGCATTTTTTTCATTATACCCACAAATTGAATACACTCTCTCAACTCGAGATGAGAATAAAAACAATGTTTTGTATGTATGTATACAATGGAATACTATTGGGCATTAAAAACAAATGAAATACTGGTACATGGTTACTTCATGGATGAATGCCAAAATATTGTGTAAGTGGAGGATCCTACATGGAATTTACATAGTATGCCCAATAATGGGAAATAACTTGGGGCACAAATCAGACACTCATGTTGTTGCAAAGAATCTAGTTTCATTCTCTTTTTGTGTTTGTGTGGTATTCCATGATGTATTTGTACATTTTCTTTATCCAATCCACCACTGATGGGCACCTAGATTGATTCCATGATTTGATTTATTTTTTAAAATATATCTTTAGTGTTTGTTCATCTTATTTTTTTCCATTTTATTTTCAATTCAGGGAGTACATATACAGTTTTATTACTTGTATAACAATCTAGGGTACAAATGATCCCGCCACCCAGGTACTGAGCATAGTACCCAACAGTTCGATTTTCAGATTTTGCCCCACTCCTTCCCTTCCCCGTCTCCAGTTTTTGTTGTTGCCGTCTTTACGTTCTTAGTACTCAATGTCTCCAGTTTTTGTCGTTGCCATCTTTATGTTCCTCAGTACTCAATGTTTAGCTCCCACTTATAATTGAGAACATGCAGTATTTGATTTTCTGTTTCTGCATTACTTTGCTTAGAATAATGGCTTCCAGTTGCATCCATGTTGTTGCAAAGGACATAATTTCATCTTTTTTGTGGTTGTGTGGTATTCCATGGTGTATATGTACATTTTCTTTATCTATTCCACCATCGATGGGCACCTAGGTTGATTCCATGTCTTTGCTCTTGTGAATGGTGCTGCGATATGAGTGCATGTATCTTTTTGGTAGAACAATTTGTTCTCTTTTTGATATATAACCAGTAATGGGATTGCTAGGTTGAATAGTAGTTATGTTTTAAGTTCTTTGAGAAATATCTGAACTGCTTTCCATGGTGGCTGAAGTAGTTTACATTCCCACCATGGAACTGAGAGTGGGAAAGTATTGTTTGCAAGTGGGTACAATGGAACATTTTGGGGATGAGCGAAGTGTTCTAAAACTTGCTGTGCTGATGGTTGCAGAGTTCAATATATTTACTAAAAATTATTAAGTCACACATATTAGGTGAAATTAATGGCTTATAAATTATATATCACTAAACTTGCCTAAAATGAATTAAAGACACGAGTAAGACAAAAATTTAAAAAACCCTTATAAAACAAACAGTACCATAAACATACATTTAAAAAATAGCAACCTGGGAAAACACTTAAAATATATATGGCATATGATAAACAAATGATATCATTAATGTATAAAATCAACAAAACATCAGAGATATCCAAGATATAAAATAGATACGGTGATTGCATAAAAATAGAATTAGCTTTGAACTCTCAGAACGGCAGCACACTTTCCAACATTGCTCTCTTTTTCACCTTTCCATCCTCTCAGTTTCTCTGCTAGGAAACCAAAATGGTATGAAGTTGGTCAATTATGTTTATCAAATCCTCTTAAGTGGTAGACCTTATTTTAGAGACTTGGGATAGAATAATGAACAAAATATAAAGAGACCATTCTTAAAAAAATTACTCAGTTATCCTTTATTGTCAATACAGATGATAGATACGTGAATTAAGATTACTTTACATCTTAATTAATGTTGTGTAAGTCAAATAGTATAGTGTTATAGGAAATCCCTGGGTGTATTGCTTTTACCAAGGTGATTGCAAAAGATCTCCATGAGAAGGTAATATTAAAATTTGGGGACAGCCTTAAAATTGGAGGGATAGGGTGGAAAATGAAGGAAATGGGGCTGCAAAAACTCTTAGTAGGGGTTGAATTTCGTTTATGTCAAGCATTTCTGAGGTTAGTGAATGCAGGGCAGGATGAAAGGGAATAAACTGGAGACAGCTTATGTGGAACATCACATGGCTTATGAGGCTATTAAGACATTTTAGTAATGAGACTGTTAAGACAGATTTTATTCTGTTTACTTTTAGAAAGTCAAAGAAAAATTATCAAAACTTTGAAAAATCTCTTGGTTACAAAATGGCTTTCTTTCCTTTCCTTTCTTATTAATTGAGATATTATTAGCTAAGCTAACATCAGGAAAAAAATATTAGGCTCTGCTGGTAATCAGTGGCATTGATTGGGAAAGGATTCAGGATTTTAGATGTTGACTTTGGTTTATAAGCTGTAAGTGTGTATGTGTGTACGTGTTTTTGTGTGTGCATATATAAGTGCACATGTGTGTGTTTATATACTTATATTTATAAAATATATACAGCAGGTCCTCAACCTCATATTGTTCAACGTTATTAAGATAGAATGTTTATGATAAAAAATATCGTCTTCAGCTGTGGCCACTGTCTTCGTGAAGTTTGAACCTTCTCCTTATCTTTGCATGGGCATTACCCAAGTACTTATATTTCCTTCCACATCCCAAAGATATGCACATTCAGTTAATTGGACGAGTGTCTAAATTGTCCCCACATGTAAGAATGTGGAAGTGTGTGAGAGTATACTCTGCAATGGGATAGTGTCCTGTCCAGGATTGGTTTCTCTTGTGTCTCGAATTGCCTGGTTAGGCTCTGGCCACCCACAATTCTGAACTGAAATAATTGGGTAAATAATCATCCTACTTGCTTTTATTTATCTTTCTTAAATATATGTATAGCTCCCATTTATTTCAGTGTTAAATATTAGAAGGCTTTCACCTTTATTTAGAAGTTTCATGATGTTTTTTGACTAGAAATATGCCGGAGTAACTTGACTCTTCTTTATATCAATCAGCCTGTAGTAAATTCGTTTCATTATACAACACTTCACTTAAAGTCACAGTTTCCAAGACCCATTGATGACACTAAGTGAGTACTTACTGTATATTTATTAGGTATATATGCAAGATTATATAATGTCATAAATACATAAGATACAAATATACACAAGATACATACATATACATAATACATGCATATGCTGTGGTGGTCACTGAGTGTCTGAGGCCGGCACATAGGTGATAAAAGAATTTACTAAGACAGTAATGAGTTTAGAAAGGCAGATTTGTTTCGAGAAAAGGGGAAAATATGTTGCAAGAGAGCAGTAGGCAAGACAGCAGAGGGAAAGCTGCCTGCAAAGAGGCAGGGGCTGGAGGAAAATTTTTTAAGGTCGTGCTGCTTAAGCTGAGTACTTGCAGACAGCATGCAGGTGGGCTGTGAGCTAGGTGCTTGTAAAAGGATGCTTAGATGCTAGTGAGCCATTTGAGGTTGACCCTGTTTCTTAGAACATTTGCTCCCCTCTACCCTGTTTCTGTTCCTGCCAGCAAAACCCATTTTTCAATTTTCTTTTAACTCCTTAGGGCTACACATTTCCCTCCTGACAGAACAACAGTGACAAATCTGTGCTATTTGGGTAGAGGTCTCATCTTCCAACTACTTTCTGCTACCCTGGGCATAGAACTGACCATTCCTAAGGTTGTTGGCTTGTCAGGGGATGCTCTGAGTCATTGTCTTGGGTTATGGTACTTAAATTGTTGGGCATAGCTGGAGGATGGGACTCAGGGAGAAGAGGATGTCCATAAGGAACTGACGTCCAGCGAAGTCTAAAGGAGAATCGTGGAGGTGTCTGGGTATCATTGGCTGATACTCTTGCATCCTTAGAAGCTTGGTGTGCAACTGCTGCATTCTGGAAGAAACAAATTTAACCAGGGTAAGTTAGAGACAGGGAGTTGGGGTATGAAATAAAACTGCCTGAAGGGGGAGCCTGGCTGCCACTTTTACTTATTTGTCAGCCCCGTTGTTCTTAATGAAGATTTCATCATTGTTCTTCTGATAGGCTTTGCAGTGAAAGATACTGCCTGTGTAGGAAGTATAATTGCCTCCAATAGGGCCATAAATTCAGGAGCATGTTTAATTAGAGTATCTTGGGCTGTTAAAAATCCTCTTTTCCAGCAAATAGCATCATGAGCATGTACTACATGAAAGCATGGGCTGAGTCTGTAAATTTTAAGCCTCATGCCTGCTCCCAATTGTAAGGCTAGAGTTAGAGCAATGAGTACTGAATTCTGGGCTGAGGTGGTGCCTGATTTTTCTATTAGGGGCTGTATTAGTCCGTTTTCACACTGCTGATAAAGTCATACCAGCGACTGGGCAATTTACAAAAGAAAGATGTTAACTGAACTTACAGTTCCGCCTGGCTGGGGAAGGTCTCACAATCATGGAAGAGGGTGAAAGACACTTCTTACATGGTGGCAGCAAGAGAGAATGAGGGAGAAGCAAAAGCAGAACCCCCTGATAAACCCATCAGAGCTCATGAGACTTATTCACTATCACGAGAATAGCATGGGAAAGACCAGCCACTATGATTCAATTACCTCCCCCTGGGTCCCTCCCACAACATGTGGGAATTCTGGGAGATAAAATTCAAGTTGAGATTTGGGTGGGGACACAGCCAAACCATATTATTCTGCCTCTGGCCCCTCCAAATCTCATGTCCTCCTATTTCAAAACCAATCATGCCTTCCCAACAGTTCCCCAAAGTCTTAACTCAATTCAGCATTAACCCAAAGTCCACAGTCCAAAGTCTCATCTGAAACAAGGCAAGTCCCTTCTGCCTATAAGCCTGTAAAATCAAAAACAGGTTAGTTACTTCCTAGATGCAATGGGGATACAGGCATTGGGTAAATATGGCCATTCCAAATGGGAGAAATTAGCCAAAACAAAGAAGTTACAGGCCCCATGCAATTCCAAAATCCAGCGGAGAAGTCAAATGTTAAAGTTTCAAATGATGTTTTTTGACTCCCCATCTTGCGTCCGGGTCATGCTGACGGAAGTGGTGGGTTTCCATGGTCCTGGGCAGCTCCACCCCTGAAGCTTTGCAGGGTACAGCCTCCCAGCTGCTTTCATGGGCTGATGTTGAGTGTCTGTGACTTTTCCAGGTGCACGGTGCAAGCTGTTGGTGGATCTAACATTCTGGGTTCAGGAGGATGGTAGGCCCCTTCTCACAGCTCCACTAGGCAGTGCACCAGTACGGACTCTGCATGGGGGCTTTGACCCCACATTTCCCTTTTGCACTGGACTAGAAGATGTTATCCATGAGGTTTCCCTACCTGCAGCAAACTTTTTCTTGGGCAACCAGGCATTTCCATACATCTTCTGAAATCTAGGCAGAGGTTCCCAAACCTCAATTCTTGGTTTCTGTGCACCTGCAGGCTCAACACCACATGGAAGCTCCCAAGGCTTGGGGCTTCCACCCTTTGAAGCCACAGCCCAAGCTGTACATTGGCCCCTTTCAGACATGGTTGGAGCAGCTGGGACACAGGGCATCAAGTTCCTAGGATGCCCATAGCACAGGGACCCTGGGCCTGGTCCACGAAACCAATTTTTCCTCCTGGGCCTCCTGGCCTGTGATGGGAGAGGCTGCTGTGAAGCTCTCTGACATGGCCTGGAGACATTTCCCCATGGTCTTGGGGATTAACATTAGGCTCCTTACTACTTACGCAAATTTCTACAGCCGGCTTGAATTTCTCCCCAGAAAAATGGGTTTTTCTTTTCTACTGCATCATCAGGCTACAAATTTTCTGAACTTTTATGCTCTGTTCCCCTTTTAAAATGGAATGCTTTTAACAGTACCCAGATCACCTCTTGAATGTTTGCTGCTTAGAAATTTCTTCTACCAGATACCCTAAATAATCTCTCTCAATTTCATAATTCCACAGATCTCTAGGGGAGGGGCAAAATGCCACCAGTCTCTTTGCTAAATCATAACAAGAGTCACTTTTGCTCCAGTTCCCAACAAGTTCCTCATCTCCATCTGAGACTACCTCAGCCTGGATTTATTGTCCATATCACTATAAGCATTTTGGGCAAAGCCATTCAACAAGTCTCTAGGAAGTTCCCAACTTTCCCACATTTTCCTATCTTCTTCTGAGCCCTTCAAACTTTTCCAATCTCTGTCTATTACCCAGTTCCAAAGTTGCTTCCACATTTTCAGTAATGTGCCACTCTACTGGTAACAATTTACTGTATTAGTCTGTTTTCATGCTGCTGATAAAGACATACCTAAGACTGGACAATTTACAAAAGAAAGAGGTTTAATTGGACTTACAGTTCCACCTGGCTGGGGAAGGTCTCACAGTCATGGCAGATGGCAAAAGGCACTTCTTACATGGTGGCAGCAAGAGAGAAGCAGCAAAAGTGGAAACCCCTGATGAACCCATCAGATCTTGTGAGACTTATTCACTATCATAAGACTAGTATGGGAGACTGGCCCCCATGATTCAGTTACCTCCCCCTGGGTCCCCCCTATGTTGGGTCTCTCCTACAACACACGGTACTTCTGGGAGATACAAGTCAAGTTGATATTTGGGTGGGGACATAGCCAAACTCTATCAGGAGCTGTAGGTCCATTTGGGCTTCAGGCTTCAAGGGATATTGGGGCTTCCTAGGGAAAATGTTAGAGCCCTTAAGATGGATTTTTACAGGGTCTGCAAACTAAGAACATCATGAAGTGGAGGTATCTCATACCTCTAGAATTTGTTGTTAAATGAAGGATTTTAGGGGATTGGCACTTTTGGTGGCAGGAGCTAGTAATGTTAATATTGGGCAAGTGTATTTGGGGAATTGAAAGCTAGTTTGGAGTTTTGTCATTATATCCCCTCTAAGTAGGTAGGTAGGACAGCTTGGTAGAACCAGGCAAGAGTAAGTGAAAACATGTTTCTCCAGCGTGCATAACAAGGGGGAAGTGAAGCGTCCCTGATGTGGTTGGCTGTCTATGCTGGTGTGGAGGATCAAAGACTAAAACGTAGGTCCGGAAAAACTAATTAGGGCTGAAGAAGTAGCTCCTATGTTGATTACAAACTCAGTCCTATTCCCTTCCACATTTAGGGTTACTCAAAGCTCAATCATAGAGATGGTTAATACAGGAGCCTGGATGGCCTCTGGGTCCCATCAGTTATCTCTTTCTGCCTTCTCAGTCTTATTAGCTTCCTCGTAGTTAAGGAACACCGTTAGGGGCATTTGTTGTTGCCATCCTCCCAAATTAGCCCATAATTGAGGTTGCTAGTTACGGGATGACTCTCCTGCGTGTGGGAGAGAGGGGCAATCCCATTTCCAATGCCTGGGTTGTTTGCAGTGTGGACAGGAGCTAATCGGTGGTCCCTGAGTGCCAGAAGATGGGTGGGGAGGGTTTTGACAGTTCTGGTGTTAAAGATCTTGAAAGCCATGTCCAGTAAAGTGGGGAATGGAGTTGTGGTCCTTGGTCTAGTCTCTGGGATTTGCACCTAATATCTGAAGAAGCCTCACTGATAAAATGAACAGTCAAATTAATGGGGCCTTCTGGGCTATGAGGGTTCATATTAGGGTATTTTCTCACGGCTTCAGCCAGCCTAGAGTGAAGTAGAGCTGAGTTTTCATTTGACCCCTGTGTTACCTCTTTTAGATTAGCAAAGTTGACTGGTCCTATGGCAGCCTTTTTTATGCCTACAATTAAATAAGTAGTCATTTAATTACTACGTTCCCTGCCAGTGTTTCCCTTCTGGTAGCCCTATCTAGGATCAACATCAGGAACTGCTGTTCTTCCCAGGCCAGACTCCTGAGGGTTGTGGGCAAGAACCTCCTGTGGCCACTCTTGAGCCAGGGACCAAATGGAGGCCTTTTCTTCATGAATACAACTGGTGGTAAAGATAATATAAATGTTCTGCCAAGTGTGTTCAAAGGAAACAGTATTTTGAATTCTTTTATGAAATGGGAAGCATCCTGCTGAAAGAAGCCAAGCTTAGCTTCTATCTGAGAGAGGTTGGACACTGGGAAAGGAACATGGACTCTGATGGTTCCTCAATCCCCATTTGCTATTTCTCCGAGCAGCAAAATCTTGACTGGGCTGAAGTGGGATCATAAGTGACCCCCATGTGATCTAGTATGTGAAGGGGAGAAGGGTCCCTAATAAAAGGAGGAGGCATTGAAAAATGACATCCAAAGTTGGGATGTTGGGGGAAAGTGAGGGAGAAAAAGCAGGTGGAGTAAGTATAGTTGAACATAAAGGTGATTTGTCAGGGAAAGAAGAAGGTTGAGAAGGGGTAGCCTCAACCAGGTCAGCCAGTCTGGGAGAGTGGAAGAGGGTAAAGGAAGGGTCTTTTAGAATGTCAGGAGAGTCAGTGGGGCTAGAGAATTTAGCCAAGAATATTTGCCAGGTTTGCTAGAGATCAAGATCCCAAGAGAGAGTCATGAAAGCCTGGACATAAGCAACTTCAGGCCATTTAGAAGAGTTGTGACACAGCAAATCGAGTTGCAAAAGAGTGTTAAGAATCTAAAGTCCCATTCAGAGTCCAGGTTAATTGATCCAGGAGTTTATACAGAGGCCAAAACATATTACACAGGACAATTAGGCATTTATTTTTGAGAGTCTGGGGGCCAAATTTATCCCAATGTTTTAGGATGCAAACCAGAGATTAGTTTGAAGGAATAGACAGGGTTTTTCCCGTGGTGGGACTGGAAAACGTCCTACCACTTGGGGCTAATGTCTGCTGGGGACACGAGCCACACTTTCTCTAGGGGTATCCCAAAAGAAAAAAAGTTCCACTCATTTCTGCTTAGGGACACTGAGATGCACTTTCCTAAGGGGCATCCCACCTATTTGAAGGATCTCCTGGTGCTGGGGTTGACAGTGCCGGGGCCTTACACTGGATGGCCAGTCCATTTACGAGGAACAAGGGTGAAGGGAGAACTCAAGACTGGAACCAGCTTAAAAGAGGGAACAGGAATGGGAAGACTCTGAGGCCACTTGAAATCACCTGATGTGGGAACTTCTAAAGCAGGAAGCCTGGATATCTTCACAGCAGAATTAGAATAAGAGAGAGAGAGTGTTTAAGTCACCCAAAACATGGGTGGATTTGCCCTAGATGAGCTGCCACTGCTAACTGCACCACACCTAGGGACTGGGGACCGAAAGGAGAGTCTTCCTCCCTTCTGGGCCAGTTGGCTAGCACTGTTTACCTCATAGCCTTCAGGCAACATCAGAGAGTAGTATGGGACAGATACTGTCAATTATAAGACAGCTACTAGAGGCTGGCTGCTGGCATGCTGAAAAAGGAAAGTGAACTTAGGTTCCTCACCTGAATGGGTGATGGTGGTAAGGCACTTCTGCACGAACACTTTTCAGCTTCACCACGTGTAGCCCTGACCAGAAACCTTCATTGTCTCTGTGCCTTGACACTGTCCATGGAGTATCCCAAGTAGAAAGGGAGTGGGGAGAGTGTTCCTGTAGGGAGAGATTTTTCATAGGGTAAGAGGTCCCCATAAGGGCCACCAAAATGTTGTGGTCAGTGACTGTCTGAGACCGGCACATGGGTGGTAAAAGAATTGACCATATCAAAAATGAGTTTAGAAAGATAGATTTATTTAGAGGAAAGCCAGAGATACATTGCAAAAGAGCAATGGGCAGGACAGCAGAGGGAAGGCTTTCTGGAAAGAGGCAGAGCTTGGAGGAAAATTTTATAAGATTTTGCTGCTTAGGCTGAATGCTTGCAGACAGGATGCTTGAGTATAGGTGGGCTATCAGCTGGGTGCTTGTAACAGGATGGTTGGATACTAGTGAGTTGTTCGCCATTGACACCATTTCTCAGGACATTTGTTCCCCTCCACCCCTTTTTCTGTTTCTGGCAGCCAAGCCCATTTTCCAATATGTCTATGAAAGTTTTATATAGGCCAGGCACAAAGGCTCATGCCTACAATCCCAGCACTTTGGGAGGCCGAGGCGGGCAGATCATGAGGTCAGGAGATTGAGACCATCCTGGCTAACACGATGAAACTCCGTCTCTACTAAAAATACAAAAAATTAGCCGGGCATGGTGGCATGCTCCCGTAGTCCCAGCTACTTGGGAGGCTGAGGCAGGAGAATTGCTTGAACCCGGGAGGTGGGGTTTGCAGTGAGCCAAGATTGCACCACTGTACTTCAGCCTGGGAGACAGAGTAAGACTCTGTCTCAAAAGAAAAAAAATTTTTTATATATATAAAAGATATACACACACACAAGATATATTAGAGGATGACCACTTCTTGTAGAAGAAAATGAAGCTTCCTGAACAAGACATGTGACAATTGACAAATAAGTCTCTCTTTACTTTCTAGGTCAGTATTTCCCTTCTTGTGCCCTGTACTTTTTGTTACAATAATAATGGACTTAAACTAATTTCCATTATGCACATAGTATGCTTTTAGGGGCCTGTATACCTTCATTTTCTTAAATGCTAAGTATTAATATTTTTGAAAGCAAAATTATTATAGAAGCAAAGAAACAAAAAATGGTTATCCCATAGGCAAAGCAGCTTTAATATTGCTAACTTGTTCTTATTACTCAAAATGATCTATAGATTCAATGCGACCTCTATCAAAATTCCAATGGCATTTTTCACAAAAATAAAAAAAATTCTAGAATTCATATGGAAATACAAAAGACTCCAAATAGCCAAAACAATCTTGAGAAAAAAGAACAAAGTTAGAGGTATCACACAGTTTGATTTCAAGATAAGCTACCAAGCTATATTTGTCAAAACAGTATGGTACTGGCATAAAAACATAATTATAGACCAATGGAACCTAATAGAGAGAATAGAAATAAATCTGCATATTTGCTGTTGATTGTTCTTCAACAAAGTAATCAAGAGCACACAATAGTGAAAAGACAATCTCTTCAACCAATGGTGTTGAGAAAACTGCATAACCACATGCAAAAGAATGAAATTGTATGCTTATTTCACCCTATATAAAAAAACAACCCAAAGTTAATTAAATAATACTAAGTAAGTTGGCTTTCCCCTCATAGCACTCTTAACCATCCTTTCAGATGTAGCTCAAGCATTACCTCCTATAAGATGATCTGTTTGATACCACTGTCTGAGGCAAACACTTGTTTTAGAGCTCATATGATGCCATATTTAGCTTTCTATCATTGTACATATTATATGGAAACAGCCCGTTCTCATTGGTTATCGTTGCTCATTGCAACTTAAAGTAGGAAACTTGTATTTTTTTTTCTCTTTGCATCTCCAGCCTCTGAACAGATTTCTGGCACATAGGATCTGCTCCCTTATTGTTTAATAAATAAGTGAATGATTAAATAAGTGACTCCCAGAGCATAGCTAGAGCAATAGGCATTGAGAAATTACATGTCAATATGAAGAGGAAAGTGATTTGTGGTTTCAAATGGAAAGTAAAATGTCATTATATTATTTGTACTCAATCCCCAAGAGAGTCATTTACCATTCATGCTTTGAACTTAAGTTAGCAACATAACTCTGATGGAGAACTGTGTGCCATGGCAAACACATGCTATTATTTGTGAATTATTTTACTTCCTCCATTGATAAGGTGGATTTATTTTATATAAGTATACCAATAAGAAACACATATATCTTTGGGGATCTAATATTTGCCATGCCCCCCACCTTCTTGAAGTTAAGTCTAGAAAATGCTGAATAATTTCTGCATCTTTGAAGTAAAAAAAAAAATTGTGGTATTACCAAATATTTTATATAATGTCTTCCCTATAAAAAAAAGAAATTTTCGTAACAGTTTCTAATTTGAACCTCTAGACATTAACTTAAGCTTGTGAGAAATTATTTAACAATAAAATTGTAAAATATGTAGTAAAATTGTCAATAACAAAAAAATAGTAATATCATGATCCATTAATTTTATTTATATTCATTACAATTTTCAGGACAGCTATGAGAAAACCATTATTGTAAGTGTTCTGTGAGGCATAGAAAGGCAACACCCCTTTTTATTTAATCAATAAACATTTCCATCATTTTTAGCAATTGAAGCAATTTATTCATAGAGATTAACCATGGAATGCAATCATAAAATTTGTTTTAAAAAACTAAATATTTTTATATTTTAGGCTTAATGTTGCATTTTACTTTAAATGTTAACAATATAATGCTGTAATTACTCAATAGGTTTGTAAATTTATACACACATGTATACACACAATGTAGATATATTGTATTTCTATGATTTGTCTTATAGTCTTATCAGAAAACTTCATCCTACTGCACAGCCATGGGGATGGAAACACATAAATAGGAAGGGTGAACTACGTTAAACCCAATCCAATAATTCACTCCAATAAAATAAAATTACCTTTTTAAATTCAACTTCTTTGAGGGGGAGGAAATAGTCATTTGTTTATATTTTCTTCCTTTCTTGCTTCTTTTCTTCAAGATGGAATACCTGTGTATAAGGAATAGAGGGGTTACCCAGTGGTGCTCAGGAAGTCTCACTTATATGTGTACAGGTCCGTGAACTCTATTCAGTTCCTCTGGTATCTATGCTTATATCCTGTGACCAGCTGACACTCACCATTTGGGAGTTCTGTGCTAATTTTTGCAGTTGTGACCTCTGTCAAAGAAAAATCTCACTGGTGGGAGTTAAACCCACAAAATAGATTATTCAAGACAATTGCAAAACGGGGTTGAGACCATTGCAATAGGGAAGAAACATTGAAACAAGAGGCAGAATTGTTTTCTTGTTTTTTTGTTTGTGTGTGTGTGTGTGTTTGTTTGTTTGTTTTTAGAGTCTAGGTCTTGCTCTGTCACCCAGGCTGGAGGGCAGTGGCTCAACTATGCCTCACTGCAGCTTCAAACTCCTGGGCTCCAGGGATCCTCCTGCCTCAGTCTCCCGAACAGCTGGGACTACAGGTACATGCTGACATGCCTGCCTATTTAAACAAATATTTTTAGAGATGTGGTCTCTCTATGTTTCCCAGGCTGGACTTGAACTCCTGGCCTCAAACAATTCCCCAGACTCAACCTCTCCAGTTGCTGAGATTACAGGCATGAGCTGCCTGACTCAGCTCAAGGCAGGATAATTTTTAAGTTCTAGGTGACCTAGTAAGAAAGTACTGGAGGGTCAATGTGGTAGGTTGGTCAATATGATTAGGCCATGTACATTTGCTCTTTGGACTTTATCAAAGTCAGGCTCCTACCCTCTCAAAGACTGTGAGTTAGGGGTGCAATCTTTCTTGAGAATTATATTACAAAGTGGGGCTGCCAGGTCATTGAGAAAAACATTCCTGGGTTGTAAAACTGGCCGGTGACTGAGAGAAGAACACTTATACCTCAAAGGGTATAAAAAGAATTTATAAGTGTGAGTTTTCTAAAGGAAGTGCTTTAAAGAAGGGAGATCTGGAGCCTACAGTCAGGAAACAATCTGTCCAAAGTTTATTCAAGCTGAGGGGAAAGCTAAGGCTACCTTGGTCACTTCAAGTTTTATTTTTTCTCAGATCTTTCAGGGCAAAAAAATGTTTATACTCTGTTGGTTTCCCTATTGATCTTACTCAGCTCTCTTCAGAGCTGCAGATTCCTCTGAGATCCAGCTTAGATTCCCATTCCACCTGCTGTCTCAGTATTCTTCTTTATAACCCTTGTAATCAGGGTCACTTTGCTCCTACTGCAGCAACGTCATTGAGAGCCTCACATCTGAAAACTTCTGAGTCCCTATATGCAACAAATACTGTTGTTGATACCTTGAGCACCTCAGAGACTTGAAGGAGGCTCTGAGAAATTTAGCTCAAGTTCTCCTTCTGCCTATTCATCTTGAGCTGTCAGTTTTACTGTGACGAATTCAACAAATATTGAGAGACTACCTTGATCCTTTAAGAGTTGTTCATGGAAAAGAAAGCAATAGTCCTTCCTTCCCCTGAAGTTTTCTCAATCCCTGCTGTTTCCCACTTAATCTTCCCACTGAGATTTTAACCCAGAGGTATGAAAACGTCACTTGTGTCTGTCTGATTAATTTGAGGAGGAAAAGAGAAAAGAAAATGCAAGAACAACAGATCTAAGAATGTTAAAATTTTCACGCACTACAAGATAAAATGTAATGTCTAAAACTGGTTAAAAATGTAGTTATATACATATTAAAATATGGAGAAAACTAGTAAAAGTAATCACTAAAATTATTTTAGGGATTGCCTCTGGGCAGCAGGGCAGACTGGAAGGTTTAAAGCTTGCTGAACTTAGTTTAGGCTTGTAGCAGTAGTGGCATGATTTTTTAAGTGTGCATGTATTATACTGATTAAAATAACAATTAAACCACCCTAGCTAGCCAGGTGAAGAATCTCTCATTGTAATCTAAGTAAAATATTTTATCCCAGGATTGATATTGACACACCTCTTCTGCTGAAACTTGATCTCTATACATTCATCCCATTTATCATTTTTACTTTTATCTAAATTATCAAAATTAGATTTGCCTCAGTTTTACTTCTGTTGTCTTGATTCTGGACAGGCTGTGTATTTGTGTGTGTGTGTGTGTGTGTGTGTGTGTGTGTGTGTGTGTGTAACGTGAAAAAATACTATACGTGTTTGTACATTTTGCTGGGTGTTTTTGTTCACATACTGTGTAGTATATAGACGGCTATATATAAGCACATTTGAGCTAACATTTTTCTTTATAAAGAACAACTAACATTAGGTTGTGAATATATCTTATTTACTGTATATTACTTCACCCTATATATGGGTTTTTGGTGTTTTGTTTTATTAAACCAAAAACCCACATATAAATGAAGTAGTATACAAGGTTTTTGTTTGTTTGTTTGTTTGTTTTTTCAGACGGAGTCCTGCTCTGTCTCCCAGGCTGGAGTGTAGTGGCGCGATCTCGGCTCACTGCAAGCTCCGCCTCCTGGGTTCATGCCATTCTCTTGCCTCAGCCTCCCTAGTAGCTGGGACTACAGGCACCCGCCACCACGCCCGGCTAATTTTTTGTATTTTGTTTAGTAGAGATGGGGTTTCACCATGTTAGCCAGGATGGTCTCGATCTCCTGACCTCGCGATCCACGCGTCTCGGCCTCCCAAAATGCTGGGATTACAGGTGTGAGCCACCGTGCCCAGCGTGTACAAGGTTTTTTAAAAAATCTCTTCAGAGTGTTACAGTTAACTTCATATTTCTTTATATGCATTTCAAATATATGCAAACATTAAAAATTCTAGAAGTGAAATTGTTAGTCAAAGAACAAGTGAAATTTCTAAATGTAGAGGATATTTTCTGATTGTCATTGATAACTGTACCAATCCACACTTCAATCAACAATATATTTTCACAATATTGATTTTACCCATCCATGAGCATGGTATGTGTTTCCATTTGTTTGTGTCTTCTATGATTTCTCTTCCAGTGCTTTGTAGCTTTCCTTGTAGAGGTCTTTCACCTCCTTGGTTAGGTATATTCCTAAGTATTTTATTTATTTATTTTTTGCAGCTATTATGAAAGGGGTTGAGTTTTTTATTTGATTCTCCTCTTGGTCACTGTTGGTGTATAGAAGAGCTAATGATTTGTTTACATTAATCTTGTATCCAGAAACTTTGCTGAATTCTTTTATCAGTTCTAGGAGATTTCTGGAGGAGTCCTTAGGGTTTTCAAGGCAAACGATCATATTGTCAGCAAACAGGGACAGTTTGATTTCCTCTTGACCGATTTGGATGCCTTTTATCTCTTTCTCTTGTCTGATTGCTGTGGCTAGGACTTCCAGTACTATGTTGAAGAGGAGTGGTGAGAATGGGCATCCTTGTCTTGTTCCAGTTCTCAGAGGGAATGCTTTCAACCTTTCCCCATTCACTATTAAGTTGGCTGTGGGTTTGTCATAGGTGGCTTTTATTACATTAAGGTATGTCTCTTGTATGCTGATTTTGCTGAGAGTTTTAATCATAACGGGATGCTAGATTTTGTCTATGGCTTTTTCTGCATCTATTGAGATGATCATGTGATTTTTGTTTTTAATTCTGATTATGCGGTAAATCACATTTATTGACTTGCATATGTTAAACCATCCCTGCGTCCCTGGTATGAAACCCACTTAATCATGGTGAATTATCTTTTTGATATGTTGTTGGATTCAGTTAGTTAGTATTTTGTTAAGGATTTTAGTATCTACGTTTATCAAGGATATTGGTCTGTAGTTTTCTTTTTTTGGTTGTGTCCTTTCCTGATTTGGGTATTAGGGTGATGCTGGCTTCATAGAATGAATTCGGGAGGGTTCTTTTTTTCTCTATTTTGTGGAAATGTTTCAAAAGGATTCTTCTTTGAATGTTTGGTAGAATTCTGCTGTGAATCCGTCTGGTCCTGGACTTTTTTTTTGGTTGGTAATTTTTTAATTAATATTTCAATCTCACTGCTTGTTATTGGTCTGTTCAGGGTATCTAATTCTTCCTGATTTAAGCTAGGAGGGTTGTATATTTCCAGGAATTTATCCATCTCTCATAGGTGTTCTAGTTTATGTATGTAAAGGTGGTTCATAGTAGCCTTGCATGATCTTTTGTATTTTGTGGTGTCAGTTGTAATATCTCCTGTTTCATTTCCCAGTCTGGTAATTTGGATTTTCTCTCTTCTTTTCTTGGTCTATCAATCAAATATTCTTTTCAAAGAACCAGCTTTTTTTTCATTTCTTTTGTACTTTTTTCCTGTTTTTTTTTTTTCAATTTCGTTTAGTTCTGATCTGATCTTAGTTATTTCCTTTCTTCTACTGGGTTTGGGTTTGGTTTTTTCTTGTTTCTCTAGTTCCTTGAGGTGTGACCTTAGGTTGTCTATTTGTGCTCTTTCAGACTTTTTGATGTAGGCGTTTAGGGCTATGAACTTTCCTCTTAGCACCACCTTAACTGTATCCCAGAACGCAATCCCCATCAAAATACCACCATCATTCTTCACAGAGTTAGAAAAAACAATTCTAAAATTCATATGGAATCAAAACAGAGCCCGCAGAGCCAGAGCAAGACTAAGCAAAAAGAACTAATCTGGAGGCATCACACTACCTGATTTCAAACTATACTATAAGGCCATAGTCACCAAAACATCATGGTACTGGTATAAAAATAGGCACATACACCAATGGAACAAAATAGAGAACTCAGAAATAAACCCAAATACTTAAAGTCAACTGATGTTTGACAAAGCAAACAAAAACATAAAGTGGGGAAAGGACACCCTTTTCATCATATGATGCTGGGATAATTGGCTAGCCACATGTAGAATAATGAAACTGGATCCTCATCTCTCACCTTATGCAAAAATCAACTCACGATGGATTAAGGACTTAAACCTAAGACCTGAAACTGTAAAAATTCTAGAACATAACATAGGAAAAATCCTTCTAGACATTGGCTTAGGAAAGAATTTCATGACCAAAAACCCAAAAGCGATTACAATAAAAACAAAGATAAATAGCTAGGTTCTAATTAAACTACTTTTGAACAGCAAAAGGAACAGTCAGCAGAGTAAGCAGACAACCCACAGAGTCGGAAAAAATTTTCAAAATCTATACATCTGACAAAGGACTAATATCCATGGAAAAAAATCAGTAAGATAAAAACAATCCCATCAAAAAGCGAGCTAAGGACATCAATAGACAATTCTCAAAAGAAGATATATAAACTGCCAACAAAACATACGAAAAAATGCTCAACATCACTAATGATCAGGGAAATGCGAATCAAAACCACAATGTGATACGACCTTATTCCTGTAAGAAAGGCCATAATCAAAAAATCAAAAACAGCAGATGTTGGTGTGGATGCGGCAATCAGGGAACACTTCTACACTGCTGTGGGAATGTAAACTAGTACAGCTGCTATGGAAAACAGCACGGAGACTCCTTGAAGAACTGAAAGTAGAACTACCATTAGATCCAGCAATCCCACTACTGGGTATTTACCCAGAGGAAAAGAAGTCATTATTTGAAAATGATACTTGCACATGTTTATAACACCACAATTCACAATAGGAAAATCGTGGAACCAACCCAAATGCCCATCAATCAGTGGATAAAGGAACTCTGATATATATATATACACATACATACATACATATATATATACATATATATATACACACATATACATACATATATATCAGATATATATATATATCTGAGATATATATAGATATTCCAAAATATATATATTCCGATATATATGTATATTCCGATATATATATATATATTCCATATATGATGGAATACTGCTAAGCCATAAAAAGGAATGAATTAACAGCATTTGCAGTGACCTGGATGAGATTGGAGACTATTATTCCAGGTGAAATAACTCAGGAATGGAAAACCAAACATCGTATGTTCTCAGTGATATGTGGGAGCTAAGCTGTGAGGACGCAAAGGCATAAGAATGATACAATGGAGTTTAGGGACTTGGGGAGGTGGAAGGGGGGTGAGGGATAAAAGACAACAAATATGGGGCGGTGTATACTGCTCCGGTGATGGGTGCACCAGGTTTTCAAAAATCTCCACTAAAGAACTTACTTATATAACCAAATACCACCTGTACTCCAATAACTTACAGAAAAATAAAATTAAAACAAAACAACAAAACAAAAACAGTAGGTAAGAGCTGAGCGTGGTACTTCAAGCCTGTAATCCCAGCACTTTGGGAGTTTGAGGCGGATGGATTACTTGAGGCTAGGAGTTTGAGACTAGCCTGGCCAACCTGGCAAAATCCTGTCTCTACTAAAAATGCAAAACAAACAAACAAAAAACAAAACAAACAACAACAACAAAAAACAGGGCGTGATAGCACATGCCTGTAATCCCAGCTACTTGGGAGGCTGAGACTCAAGAATTGCTTGAACCCAGGAGGCGGAGATTGCAGTGAATGGAGATCATGCCACTGCACTCCAGCCTGGGCAAAAGAGCAATACTCTGTTTCAAAAAAGAAAGAAAGAAAGAGAGAGAGAGAGAGAGAGAAAGAAGGAGAAAACTAGTATATAAGAATTCCTGCCTATTTTCTCACCCTCACTGCTGCTAGGAAACATATAAATATATGGCCATCTGAGAGCTGAAAATAGTATCTCTTTTGTATTTACTTATTTATGAGTGAAGTTAAGAACTTTTACTACCTTTATTAGCTATATTTGTTCCTATGAACTGTTCACTCATATCATTTATTAGGTTGTGTAAGTTCCATTAATTTCAAAGCCTTGTTAAAGTACCATGTTTAATGTCATTTCTTTCTTTCTTATAGTTCTCTATTTTTTTTTCCACATTGACCTATATGCCTATGTTTTTTTCCTAGTTAAACAGCTTTCATCTATTTTATGTCAAGTGAAGCAAATTTCCTTTATTTTTTTCCTTATTGTCATTGCCTGGAAATCTTTCAGGAAATCATTAATATTGGGATTAAAATTATTATTTTTATACTCAAGATTCCTGAAATGTTTATATAAACAATGATTTTTCTTCTACTTTTCTGACTCATCTGCACTGGTGCATTATTGCAATCATGTCCCGGGAGGAAAATGAAGTTGAAGAAAATTCAACATCATCATAATAATTGGACAAATCAAAATATGTCACATCAGCTAGCCAAATGAACAGTAATACAGTACTCTGCTGCTCTCGTTGGAGTCAGACAAACCTGAGTTTAAGTTCCAGTTGTACTATTTAATAACTTAGTAACAAAGAGAGGATGACATCATCGCTTAGGTTTCAGATTTCCTTATCTGTAATATGGGCACAAAATATCTTGCTTGATAATATGGGAATTCAACAACCTTTAAAGGCAGCATCAAATACTGGTTAGGAGCTCATATCCTGAAGGCAGGCATCTTCTTTCAAATTCTAGTTCAAACTTCTACTTCTCTGAGTTTATATTAATCAGCACATCAAAACTTTGTCTCTAATAACTTCTAGCTCTTTGATCATGGTAAGAAATATATTTTCTAGTATCTTAATAACTTCATTTGCAAATTGAGGATAATAGTGGTTTACTTTTTATTATTTAATAAATTAATAATTAAAAATGCATGATGCCAAATACTCAATAAATGTTAACTCTATTAATACTTGGCACTTATTTGACATTTACATAGGTCATTTAAAAGGAAAAAGAAAGAAAGAAAGGAGAAACGGAGAAGGAAGGAAGGAGGAGAGAGAGAAGAAAGGAAGGAAGGACAGATAGACGGAAGGAAAGAAGAAAGGAAGAAAGAGAAAGGGAGGGAGGGAGGGAAGGAGGAAGGAAGGAAGGAAAGAAGGAAGGAAGGAAGTTAGTTAACGCCTATCTTGGAAGAAAGCACTTTACACTGTTGTGATCTTTACTCATAAGTGCACTGTGAGAACTCTTCCTGATCCTCATACATGGAAGGAAGATGCATCTGTGATCTAGAGACTCTGACCCTCTAGGCCAAGGAGATACCATGTGAGCAAAATATAATGGCCCAGAATCATCTCACTTACACATCTAAGAAAGACTTCAAATGAAGCCCATTTACTGTATTTTTCATACCCAAAGTAGCAGAATCATAGCTCATTGGAGTAGCACAATCATAGCTCATTCTCTCCCAGACTAGAGTGTGGTGGCATGATCAATGGCTCACTGCAGCGTCAACCTCACAGGCTCAAGTGATCCTCTTGCCTCAGCCTCCCACGTAGCTAGCACTACAGGCATGACACATATAGTATTAATACTTTCTTCTACCTGTTTCCAAAGACATTGTAAAAAGACAGTGAGTATGTGTGTGCATGTATTTGTGTGAAGGTGTGTGTGTGTGTAACAGGAAAAATATAATATAAATCTCCTTCATTTGGGCAGATCACAGAGTCATTACGCATAAAAGGAGAGGAAATAATGTCAATTTGGATTTGTTTCAAACTACTTTTATACGGACTTACTCTTAAAGCGGCTAAAAATTAGTGCAAAGTTGCAAACAGGTAGCATATAGGTGTTTGAACAGGGCTATCATTTTTCCTTGTGTCTCATGCAGCTGTGTGCAAAGTGTTATGATTTCCACAACTCAGTTGTAGGAGTCTCAGTCCACTAAGTCAGAAAGTCTGTGGACTCATGTCTACACATGAAAAGTCTAAGTACTAAAATAACTGAAAACAAACCTTTTATCAGGCCATGTTTACCAGACTTCGTGTTAGGGTTACAGGCCTGGAAATTTTGGCTTCGTCTATGCAGTATCACTCTCTTCTTATCTACATTCATGCGTCAGTGATGAGAAGTTTTTTTCTTTATGTCCACCCATGGGTTTTCTGTGGCCAGGCCTGACCACAGCTCACCACAACTTCATACTCAATTTCTCTGCCCCAGCACATAGTTAGGCAATGTGTCATTGCACAGTAGGAATCCAAATCAAATAACTCTGAACAAAGTCTCTTGTGTAGGTGGATTCTATACTTGCTTTTGAACGTTAAAAAAGAAAAGGAAAAATATTGCTGAATGTGCCTCCTACCATTTTCTATAGCACTGACCTTCACACCTGACCCAGATGGAAATAAAACATCCCTTACCTTTTTTTTAAATGCTTTAGAACACTATGTGACTAAAGAGGAAGTTTTGTGAGAATTATTTTTGCCACAGTCCTTACAGTTGAGAATGGCCCGAGTTTTATTTTGAAATCATCAGAGGATTTAATCATTAAATAATTGTTTACTATGGGACTTGGTTAACAGTAGGGATAACTGAATGAAATGGTTAAGCAAAGAGCATATCTACACGGTTAAAACAGGACTATTTTTTTCTTTCCTTTTTTTCTTTTTCAATTTTTTTTTTCTAACCTTGCTCTGTCACCCAGGTTGGAGTGGAGTAGCACAATCATACCTCAGTCTCTCCCAGGCTAGAGTGCAGTGGCATGATCAGTGGCTCACTGCAGCCTCAACCTCACAGGCTCAAGTGATCTTCTTGCCTCAGGCTCCCAAGTAGCTAGCACTACAGTCATACACCACCAAGCCTGGCTACTTTTGTGTGTGTGTGTGTGTGTGTGTAGAGACAGGGTCTCAGTATATTATGCAGGCTAATCTTGAACTTCTGGGCTTAAGCAATCCACCCACTTTGGCCTCCCAGACTGCTGGAATTACAGGTGTGGGCCACCATGGCTGGCTATTTTTTTCTTACATTTTTTAATGACCTTTCCACCACAAATGAAATTTACACATTATGTTTGATATTTATTTTATTTAAGATGTCAGAGGATTAATATCTTAACATTTAATTTGGAAATATTATATATATAATATGTACATATATATTTGCATACCAAAGTACAAAAAATAAATTGTCTTCAAGTGGACTGTATTATCGACTTTAAATTTGATCAACTTTAAATAAATTATGGTCCACAAGTACTATCACATGACAATTTTCTGATTAGCTGAATACATATAGGACAGACATTAAAGGCTGTTAAAAATGCTATCAACCAACTTTGAAAGAGATCACTTCGTAATGTGAATTTAAAGTTTAAAATTTTAAGATGAATAAAACAATATCACTCCTAAAATAAAATAAGAAAACTCAGAAATTTGTTATAAGAATATCAAAATATCTTACAGAAATTAGGAAGAGAACCAGAGACACTCGGTCCTACTTGAGGGTGGAGGGTGAGAGAAGGGTGAGGATCAAAAAACTACCTATCAGGTATTATGTTTATTACCTGAGTGGTGAAATAATCTGTACACCAGCCTCCCAAGACATGCAATTTATCTATATAACAAACTTGTGCATGTACCCCTGAACCTATAAAATAAACGTTTTAAAAAAAAAGAAATTAAGGGAAGGAATGCAGACAGCTGGGCATGAGATGTAACTCTGAGTCTAATAAGAATTTGCTTTCTGTCTCTTGATGCCTTTTCTACATGCCTACTTCATTCTTCTCTCTTCATTACATTCTTTGTTTTTCCAAGACCACATAGCCAAAGAAATTTGACAGTTTCTGAATTACACCAATTACAAAAACACAAACAAACTGAAAGATAATTGGTTTGAGTTAGGAATAGGTTCCTGCTATGTCTAATCCACTGTGTAAGTGGATTAGAGGGTGGAAGTACACTATTTTTAATAAAAGAAAAGATAAAAGAAGTTCTTAGAGAAGTTAAGGCAGGTAGTGGTTATTGAAAAGGCAAAACAAGGTATATACACCATTTTATTATCATGGAGCTTCTTTCATGATCCCTTGCCTTGCTGTTCCCTCTTTAGTACTGTCTTCTAGGCAATCCATGGTCCCCAACCAAAAGCCTATCTTCTATATTTTTAAACAAAAAATAACTAGATCTGAAAATATCCATTTGTTTGATCTTGTGTGTTTCTTCTTTAGAAATCGTATTTTATTCAGGCAAGGTGTCCATGAAGATATTAAAACTTCACTGGTACGCCTCCATAGTCTTGACTCAGTGATTCTCATAATGCAAAGAACAGAATTATCTTTTTAAATAAAGCATTGCAAACACCTCCTAGATTTCATGGCTTAAATACCTGCTTAGTGAGGTCATCATTCAGATACAATCAATTTCATTTCAAACACAAGACAACTCTTTTACCCTAAGCAAATGCTTATGTGCATTTACATAGTCCCTTCTGGTGGCTATCATGGCTGCCTTGAATATCTTCTTTAAGGAAAATCCAGAATGTTCCTTTCCTATGTGAAGCCCCTTCATATATTTGAGTATTTTTAAAACATGGAGGTAATTTGCTTTTCAGGTTTGTAAATTTAACTCATTCGATATGTCTGTAATATGTGGATGTTGCTTTGGTGGAGGAACTGGGGTGATGTCTGAATGAATGGGAAGGAAATTCTAAAGGGATGATCAATATAGAGTCAGAAGGAAATCAAGTTGAATACATTAAAGTGTGTCAAGACTCAACCTTCTTATGCTACATTAAACACATTTACACAAGTAAAAATAAGTATTTTAGAACTTCCATTAAGACTCCATGAAGAACTAATGGAATGTTAAGCTAAAAATATCAAGGCTATTAAATCAAATGCACATGACACGAAGCCTGTTTGAAATAGTTGATACTATCAACATACGTAAATTCACTAATGCTAATTATTAAGTGTGTTCTAGACACCACTATATCCCCCAAAACTTAACATGTCCTCTGGTAAATAATAGATATTTAATAAAAATGTGAATGAATAAATAAGCAAACACGAGGTATAAGATACTTCATATAAATGTGAAGACGGAGAATAGTGACTTTGAAGATTCAATCATTATATCTAGAGACTTACTTGTAATTATGATTTTAGAATGAGCCTATTGAAGTGTAGTTTTCTGAGCTTAGAAGCAGAAACAATATAACTTATTTGACAAAGCAAATACATTTTTTCAGTGATTTTTTGGGGCACACAAGAATGACACAAGGATCATTTTAAACTAAGATATCAGTAACTACCTTTTGGCTCCCCCTAGGGTATGAACTAGAAATATAAAGTTACTTGGAGTACTTGTGCTGGGGAGAGACAAAATGTAGTAGTTGAGTCATGAATGAGTTAATTAAAGCCTGGGCCTCTACGATGAGCAAGAGTATGTAATGCTATTATAAAGGAAGTAATGTGCATGATGGTTTGAAATTTTCAACAATAAGGGATTTTTCAATGTGACTCTATTGGAAAGTTACTTATTCTCTCAACCATAGTAGCAATGGAGGGTGAAGATTCAGAGACAAAAAAAGCAGCTTTATAAGAAGCATAGAAAACGGAGTAGTGAGAAAGGCAGTGAAGTAATTCAAATCCCTGCACTCATTTAATTTTCAGTTCTTTTTATTATAATTATTATTTTAATTGACACATAATACCTGCATATGTTTATAGGGTACAGTGTGATAGTTCATGTATGCCACACGTAATGTCCAAATCCAAGTAATAAGCATATCTGTCACCACAAACATTTTTCTTAGTGTTGAGAACATTCAAAATCTTCTCTTCTAGCTATTTTTATTTCTAATTCTAACCAAAATTTTAAAAATAGTCCTTAACATAACTAAACAACTGAATCACTCTTAGAGTTTGAGGACCTGTTTATGTATTGTTTGCTAAATTCATTTATGTTTCTTCATTTAATCTTCATAACTACTCTGCTTGCCAGTTATTTATATCTACAGCAGCATAATTCAATTATGTTTTAACTCATACTCCTTTTTCCATTACTAAATACTGATTGAGAGCTTTGAAACCAGACCTCCTTCTTGAGAAATAGTCTTTTTTTCAGAATGTGTTGTTGGGATTTACAGTTGTCTTGACAAGGTACGGACCTCCATAAGGATAACTATAATTTCACAAATAGTTCTCTAATGGGTTATTAGGCACTTTCTAAGCTCATTTAGTCAAAAACTGTGTTTGTTGCTGTATTTGTGTTAGAAATAAATTTAATTACAGTTCAAAGAGTTTGTACAAAAAAGAAGAAAGCAAATTAAATGCCAGTTTAATTTTCATGGCCTCTAAGTTAGCTGGCTTTTTTTAAAAAATAATTTTGGTATGGTAGCTACGCAATATTCACAACTATTCTTACTAGGGCTCTTTATTGTCCTTTAATTTCTGTAGGACTTAAATTTTAATAAGACAAATATAAAAAATTATCTGTATTTTTTCTGTGGAAGATATAAATAATTTAAAACTTGCACGAGATTCAGGAAAATTTATGGAGATAGTAATGTGCATTAATTAATTGAATTGTAAGCTCTTAAGCTGCCTTTTCTCTTCTAAACTGCTCACTTTCATTGGTACTTCATTTGAAAATTGGTGCACATTCTAGTTCATATGAATTTGCTCATTTTCATTGGGACTTCATTTGAAAATTGACTATATTCAAGGTCCAAACTCTAGTTCATATGCATTTGGTTAAATCCATCAGCAAATTCTATTTTCTTGGTCACAGTGAAATGTGACTGTAGCCAGTTCAATCAGACTGAACATCAGAACTTTGTGTAGGAGTTCTAAGATCTACACGCAAATTCTTTTTTTTTTTTTTTTTTTGAGATGAAGTCCTGCTCTTGTCCCCCAGGCTGGAGTGCAATGACACGATCTTGGCTCACTGCAACCTCCGCCTCCCGGGTTCAACTGATTCTCCTGCCTCAGTCTCCCGAGTAGCTGGGATTACAGGCGCCTGCCACCATGCCTGGCTAATTTTTGTATTTTTAGTAGAGACGAGGTTTCACCATGTTGGCCAGGCTGGTCTCGAACTCCTGACCTCAGGTGATCTGCCTGCCTCCACCTCTCAAAGTGCTGGGATTACAGGCATGAGCCACCAAGCCTGGCCTCACACGAATTCTTTATTTACATGAACCATTACTTGCAAGCAAAGGCATTTAAACTGATTCAGAATTTGATAAACAAAGGGAAATAAAGATTGACAATAAGAGATCTTGAAATTTGAATAAAGTAAACTAAGGGGGTAGAACAAAGGGTAGTAAGGATTTTCCACACTCCCCAACTCCCAACGCTACCCTATACCCTTGCAAACTGAAACTGGAAATCCTTACTACATGTTAGTGAAACAGCTGTGAATCTGTAATCTATAGTACACCAAGATGCAGATCTTGCATCTACTCGGCCTGCAAAAGTAGTTGAAGCAGGAAAATGTCATAAAGTCTGTGTTAGCTAATCATGCAGCTTTCAGTAAATCCTAAAATAAACAAGCTTTTCTGAAGCCAACTCATCTGAAGGAAAACAATAAAAATAATAGAGGTTTGCTAAAAAGAAACCACTTTTGCCTGTGGGTTGCAAATAAAAGAAAATAACCGGCCATATGCAGAAAACTGAAACTGGACCCCTTCGTTACACCTTATAAAAAAATAACTCAAGATGAATTAAAGGCTTAAACGTAAGACCAAAAACCATAAAAACCCTAGAAGAAAGCCTAGGCAGTACCATTCAGGACATAGGCATGGGCAAAGACTTCACGACTAATTTTGGCAACAAAAGCTGAAATTGACAAATGGGATCTAATTAAACTAAAGAGCTTCTGCACAGCAAAAGAAACTGTCATCAAAGTGAACAGGCAACCTACAGAACGGGAGAAAATGTTTGCAATCTATCCATCTGACAAAGGGCTAATAATCAGAATCTACAAGGAACTTAAACAAATTTACAAGAAAAAAAATACATCCCCATCAAAAAGTGGGAGAAGAATATGAACAGACACTTCTCAAAAGAAGACATTTATGCAGCCAACAAACATACGAAAGAAGGTTTATAATCACTGGCCATTAGAGAAAGGCAAATCAAAACCACAAGGAGATACCATCTCATGCCAGTTAGAATGTCGATCACTAAAAAGTCAGGAAACAACAGAAGCTGGAGAGGATGTGGAGAAATAAGAACGCTTTTACACTGTTGGGAGTGTAAATTAGTTCAACCATTGGGTAAGACAGTGTGGCAATTCCTCAAGGATCTAGAACCAGAAATACCATTTGACCCAGCAATCTTATTACTGGGTATATACCCAAAGTTTTATAAATCATTCTACTATAAAGACACTTGCACACGTGTGTTTATTGCAGCACTGTTCACAATAGCAAAGATTTGGATCCAACCCAAATGTTCATCAATGATAGACTGGATAAAGAAAATGTGACACATATACACCATGGAATACTATGAAGTCATATAAAAAGGATGAATTAATGTCCTTTGTAGGGACATGGATGAAGCTGGAAACCATCATTCTCAGCAAACTAACACAGGAACAGAAAACCAAACACCCCCTGTTCTCACTCACAAATGGGAGTTGAACAATGAGAACACATGGACACAGGGAGGGGAGCATCACACACCAGTGCCTGTCAGGGGGTGGGGGGGCTAGGGGAGGCATAGCATTAGGAGAAATAACTAATGTAGATGACGGGTTGATGGGTGCAGCAAACCACCATGATACGCGTGTATCTATGTAATGAACTTGCACGTTCTGCACATGTATCCCAGAACTTAAAGTATAATAATAATAATAAATAATAATAATAATAAAACATTGAGGACAACGTGCTGAGAGGAAGATAGTTCTCTAAGGTGGGAGTTTTGGTCTGTGATGACAAAACACTGCATTAAAGTTTCTCGTGGGTTTATTCAGGACAAAGACAGTGTTGATAAGGCCCTTATGTGGCTGCAGAGTAGCTTTTACCAAAATGATTCTACTATTGTCTCTCAATTGAAATGAGTAAGGGAAGAATAATAAGAAAAACACATACAACTGAATTATTTATTTTTGGTAATGTGTGTTTTATACCTTCTAGGAGTTTTTTTCAAGGGTATGGCTAATCATTGCAAAAGGAATACTTTCCTCTGTCAATCAACCATTCAAGACGTACAGACATAAATGAAATTATAAAAGTGTTGCCTGATTTCATTATTTTTAAAAGACCCCCTCTTTTTTGATATGAGTATCCATGAGTGATCAAGTAAGATTTTTTTTAAAATTGTTTAACATTTACCTCTGTCAAAATAGATTTTAATTAAATTTAAATTCTGATTTTTTTAAATAATGAGCCAAATAAATATTGACTCAGAACAGAAGATATGGTTGTTTTAAAGGGCTTGACCTAAATTAACATCAAGCTTTTTGAATTTCTTGGTAATTTTACTCAATATCTAAGTCAACGTATCAATCTCTACCTGTGCCTATATCACATATATCAAAGTTACCATTTTTACAAATGGCACTAATCCAGCTGTCATGCTGCTTATTGCATGAGCTCTCATCCATAGAGTTCTTCAGCAAGTCTCAGCAGGATCCACTGATTTCTAACTTTTGCCAGATCCCCTGCAGATTAACTGGTGAACTATGAGAAGTCTGTTTTGAATCCCGAGTAATACTGAAGGTGATTGAACTCTTTATGAAAATAGCTACCTGCTTTCTTCGGTTTCAGCAAGGAACATGTAGAGTATAGTATGATAGTGAAGAGTGATTTCCTCATATATATATTTGTTGTCAAAATTTTCTCCAGTTGGTATTATATATATATGAGAAGTTCAGCAGCTAAGTACCAAAAAATCAAAATAAAATACCTTAAAATAACGCTTATTGTAAATTTAAAAAATAGTCTCAACAGCATGTGTTTGATTTCCTAGATAGGTGCATACCTGCCTGCATGTCGTATCTTTTCTTAAAAGATTTGCACATCTTAATAATTTATCTTTCTTTTGTATTCTCTGCAACATACTGGTATTAAAATTGTCTCTTTTAATAATTTTGTTTGCAAATCACCTTTTGTTTCTGGAAATGTAATAAAAATAGACAGTAATTCCAGTACCATGAATAATAATAGGTATTTCAGCTTATGAAAACATATCATCAGGAATTGCAGTTTCTAGTTTTTTCTATGAAGGCTATTCAAAAGACTCACAAAACATATTCCAAATATCTTGAGAAAATGTAATAGCTATCAATAGATAGTTTAAGCATTTCTAAATTTATTCATTTGCAGAAAAAAAAATGATACAGGAGCACATTTTGCACAATGTAGTATGAAAAACATCTAATGTATAATTTATATCATATTTATTATTGCATATTGGAATATAGCTTTGGTTTCTTTCTTATTGTGGATTTTTACAAGAAATAAAAGGAGTCACATTCTTGAGGAAAGTGGATAGTAGCAAGAGCTTTTTAAGCAATGATTTGTGTAAAATGGCTTATTTTTGAAGAAAGAATATTTAGGATATAGTGTTATTTCCCTGAAGCTAAAAAAACAAACCTGGTGTTTCTAATAAACATCGTCAAAATCTAGTTATAATTACTAAATGTGTTTTTAACCTTCTTTTGCCTTTTTGCCTCATGTTGACCATTATAATAATTATCCTTGTTTTACATAACATACCTAAGATCAATATCTGGATTAATCAATTAACTTTCCTAATTTACAGATTATTTTCTTAAATCTGCCATTTCACAATTAAAGTCCATTAGTATTTGGCTTATTTGTTTTTGTATTTGCCTTTGCTAAAATCAATAAATGTTGGATGGAGAAATGACTCAATCTGTCTGATTAAAAAAATAAATACTTTGTCCGCAAGTATTATCTATCACTACCAGTAGTAAAAGAGTACACTCAAATATATCATTTTAGTTTGATTAAAGACTAATTTTAATTTTTCTTGTTGTATTTACATGCACCATTTTTGGATTAAGTAATTTAAACTTGGTTTAAAACAACAAAGTTCATAAATAAAATAACCAATTCCTAGATTTATAGTATGTTAAGTATTTAAGACTTAGCAATGGTTCTGGCATCAAAGGCTGTCATAGTCAATCATGATCGACCCAACCAATATAAGAGGATTTTGCTAAAGATATAACTTGTGTTCTTTTTTTCAGGGATCTTTTCTTTATGTTATAAGGAGTTCTTCATTAATTTGGGGTGTTATAAATATGTCAAAAATAGTAGATACTAAGTGCTCATCACACACACTGGTGTGAGTTAGGTACAATTTCTTTAATATATCCTATCATCCATCAGAAATAGGTGACATATTATTTTAATTGCAGGTTCATGCTGACATTCGTTCTAGCCTCATTCTCATTAGAAAAAAAATAATGCAAAAGTAATGACTAGGAAACATCTTTCAGTTCTGATGAAATTCTCGCTTTCACTTCATTTCCCATCAGCTCTAAACACGAAGTGAAGCCCATGTTAGCTATGTCCTGATCTGATCACTTTATTGCTATGTTGGTTGCAACTCAGTTAAAATTGCTCCAAATACAAATTGTAATGCCTTTTTAAATCAAATCCAAATTTTAATGCTTTTAAAATACTCCTTTGTTTGTGTTGTTATTGTTCTTTTTGCTCCTACCAAAATTTATTCAAAAGCTACAGCTTTCAAATAGCAGTTTTCTCACATACCTAGGAAACTGGCATTTCTCATACTGACTATATACTTTCATTTCCTATTTTTAAGGATTCTATGTGTAAAAGATGAAGGCTCTTTTAACTTCATTTTCTATATGCAATAGTAATCTAAAATGTATGAAAGACAATTTGGCAAGGTTATTTTATTAAGACATCCTTTTGAAGGGGCAAGTTGGACTTCCATCTTAAGCAATCATATTAATTAGTTTTCTAGTGAATATTGTTCTATTATGTATAATACATTATTGATCCATATTATGTACCAAATGTGTGTTGACAGTGAAAACTGTATAGAAACATGAGTATTACTACAATTATTAGTTAATGTGTGCTAAAATTAAGAATAATGGTATATCTTATTTGGTTATAAATGCAATATAGAAGTTCCATTTAATCCTTTCTATATGTGGAATAACAAAGTAGAAATGAAATAAAATGACAACCTAGGCAAAACTGACCAGATGCTGAAAGCAGATGGAGAACTTAAAGGAAAGTATTAAAAGAGCAGGTTTATAATGCTACAGCTGGTGATTAAAATATCTCACTATCTAATCAGGCAATAGCATCTGGCCTGCTGCAATTCAGAGGTTTTCAAACAGTAGGGACCACAATTTAATTTAATTATCAAAATTGAATTTGTAAAGCTAGCCAATGAGTAGAAATTCAGAAGACCCTGCCACAGTATCCCCCAACTTTTCACGATAAGAAATTAAACATAATAAAACATGCCTTTTGATAATTAGACTCCATATATTGCAAAACTAAAGTTTGATAAAAGTTTAATCAAACTCAGTGGGTGTCATTAAAAAGGCAATAATCAAATGATTACATAAATAATAACAAACTTCTGCATTTCCCTCAAATTGTCTAAGGAAAAAACAGATAAGTTGTCATTTGAGGAACAACAGGCAGAAATATGCAGCATTAAAATTATCTAGATCAAAATTTTAAAAGCTATGATGCCCATGATTATTTCTATCTCCATTTTAATTCACAATTTCTGTATTTTCTATTAATTTGATAAAAATAATGAAATGAAAGAGTTGATGACTCAGTAATATTAACATGAGAGAGATTAACATGCAAAAACATTTTTGTTCTGGAAAACCAAAAATAATTATTGGTAACATTATATCTTTAACTAGGAGAAAATAGTATCCCATAAATTATATTACATCTCTCCTTAAATCTTGCTGTAGTTCTCAATTGATTCAAAGCTTATCTCCAAAGACTTAACTGTTATAGAAATAGTCTTTCTGCTTCTGGTCCCAGCCTATCTAACCTCATCAACCAATGCATCCTTCCATGAATGGTAAATTTGATATACATTGAGTTATAATTACACAAGAATATCATCTGCTCTCACTTCTTTATACTATTATCTATAGTTTCTAAGCTTCTCTCATATCCATCAGCTTTATGATCCCCTCCACTCTTCATAATGCAAGCCCAACTATAGTTCCTGAGAAAATCCCAACTGGAGCTGATGACTCCTACTTTTTCTCCATTCTGTTACTTATCACTGATCATTAACTTTACTTACTTAAATACATATTACTGCCTAGAGATTGCTAACACCTGAGGAAATTGAAATACTTTCATAGAGAATTATATTTCAAAAGCCTAGTTTATGGCCTGACATTTACTATGCTTACAATGTATGTTCCATATGTTAATAAATCAATTATCTTATTATAAGAGCAACTTGCATGTAAGAAACATTAGAAACATTCCTGGCCAACTAAACTGCCTTCTTGTCATGAAAACAAGTTTTATAGTAAATACATTAAATAAACATTATTGTGTTTTGTTTCTCTTTATCCTTCATTACACCTGAGATCCCCATTATCTGATCATATAGAAGACTACCATCTAAAAAATAACAACCATGGAAGTGTATAATTATCTAACTTGTCAAAATTTCTTTTTAAATTTAAAACTTAAATTTAGTTTTTCTAGAAAGAGCTTTTTAGGTAGCTAAATTTCTTGCATATGATTGAATGAAATGTAGCCAAGGATATAATAAATTACTTCCTTTCAAAAAGTGATCCCCATCTTTCCTCCCTCAAAAACTCTCTTCCTGATTTAGTGACTAACTCACTTAATAGTCATCCCTATATTACTATCAGATGAAAAACAAAAACATCACTGACTTTCGAACATGAAACTAATGAAAATTAATGCAGTGTCTTTGATTTTCAAATTTATTTTCAATAAATCTTTAGTCTCTATGTCTGCGTTAGTCTACATAATCTTGAAATATTTCCAGAGTACTGCTAGATAGTTTCCATTTTGTCATGATTTATATATGTGTTATTTGGATTTCTGTGCCTCAGGAAATAGGAAAGTAAAAATAATGTTATATATATGCGTGATAAAAATTAAAACAGACAATGAAATTGCAGGTTGCAAGCTTTACATGGAAAAAGCATGAAGAAAAAGCAGAAAAGCTGTGATACCAATGGTAAACTTCTCTGAATATTAAGATTGATTTTTTTAAGACAGTGAGAGAGAATGATATTAGAACATAGAATTAAGTAGAAATTAGAGAAAACAAAGAGGCTGTTTAAAGTTTAAGTGTCCCTGAGGCTCAGGAGAATTTGTATCCTTACTTGAAGCTGTATTCAACTCCTTCCTGGAATTCATAAACCAATTAATTCTTCTCACGAGCTAAATGCATCTCAGTGGATTTTTCTGGCCTGTATATGCAACATAACACTGAAACAGATTCATACTACTGACATTTGGTCTCTGCCAAGAAGAGATACCAGCTGTGCTTTCCAATCTGAAACCACTAACATAATGGACAAATTTATGAAACAAAAGTTCTCAAGATATAGGACAACAGCCTGAACCCTGAGATATGAAAAAATAAGTTAATAACTATAATTGCCTCAGTATACTGCCCAAAGAGAATTTCCAGGCCAAGGCATTAGGAGGAAGAATCAGGGAAAAGTCAGGCAGAAGCTGTTAATTGAGAAGACAAGTCAGGAGCTCAGGATCCTAAAGTGCCTAGAATGGGTAGAGCAGTATACTAGAGACAGCTCTGGAGATTTACAAAGTCCATCCTTGTCTATTCAGCTGCATCCTAATCAACACATGAACAGTGCGTTGGAAACTAAAGGAGGTCTAAGAAATAAGTTTTTGTAACAGTTAGAAGGAAAATCATCAGTGCTCACATAGGAAAGGGATTAGTCCTATTCTCATAGGCCAGAGGGGGGTAAACCTTATAATTCATAGGACACCTGAAAGATTACCCAGTAATGGGGGAAATTTTAACACCCAAACTAAACACTGTGCTGGTCTCACTTAGCCATGTTTAAAAATTAAGACTCCAAAAGATCAAATTGTTTTCAAGTAGCTTAATTTCATCACAGAATAAACCTCAAGAATATGTATAGAAATTTTAAAATATCCAATAAACAAAACTTCACAATTGCTGCCATTTGAAATAAAGCACAACATAATGATAAATGCAAAGAGGCACAACAAGATAATTCAGAATGAAAAGAAAAAAATGAATTTAAATTTATATAAAAAAGGAAAAAAACATAAATTACTGACATTACAAGGATAATAAAGGGATATTATGAACAACTCTATGCCCCATATTTTATAACTTAGATGAAATGGACTAATTCCTTGAAGGACACATCTACCAAGACTCACACAAGTAACCGTAAAGAAACGGCATAGGCTTATATCTATTAAAAATTCAATCAATCATCGATAACCTTCAAAAACAAACGAAAAAGAATCAAGCCCAAAGAAGCTCATTGGAGAATTCTAACAAACATTTCAGGAAGAACTCATTCTGATTCTCTACAATTTCTTTCAGGAAATGGAGATGGGGGAATACTTCCTAACTCATTCTATGAACCAGCATTACTCTAATACCATAGCCAGAGAGAGATATTAGAGGAAAGAATCAATCTATCTCATGAAAATAGATGTAAAAATTCTCAATAAGATAATAGCAAATAGAATCCAATATTGTATAAACAATTTATAAACCATGACTGTTCGTCTGTTTTGTGCTACTAGAACAGAATACCTGAGACTCGGTTGTTTATAAAGAAAAGTTGCTTATTTGGCTTATGATTCTGGAGGCTGGGAAGCCCAAGAAGCATGGTGCCAGCATTCGCTTGGCTTCTGGTGAGGGCCTCTAGCTGTATCATAACATGGTGGAGAAGTGGCTGGGAAACTAGCCTTGGCAAAAAGACCAAATTCAAGAGGCAGGACTGCTTTATAACAACATTCTGTCATAAGAACCAACCCAGTACCATGAGAACTAATCCAGTCTGTGAGAGCTGCATTAATCCATTCTTTTTTTTTTTTTTTTTTTTTACTTGTTTATTTCTGTTGAATCATACCCTTGGAATAAATTTTTTCTTTTTTTTATTTTATTATTATTCTTGACAGCAGATCTCCCATGAACCAAAACCTTCTTTAAAAACTCACTACCTATCAATACTGCTACATTTGCAATTAAATTTCAACATGAGTTTTGGCAAAAACAGACCACATCCATACCACAGCAGTGAACAAATGAAATTTGTTTCAAGTATTCAAGATAGCTTAAAAATTCAAATATAAATCAACAAGCTAATGAAGGAAAGTCACATAATCATATCAAGAGACGCAGAAACACCCTTTGACAAATTCCCATACTCATTCATGATGACAACTCTCAGAAAACTAGATATAAAGGGGGAAGTTCTTCAACTTGATAAAGAACATTTGTGAAACACCTACAGCTAACGTGATACTTAATGGTGAGAAACTAGATCCTTTCCCACTAAGATGGGGTAAAGGCAGGAAGGATGTGTATTTTCACCAATCTTCTTTAACATTGTACTTGAATTCTTGGATATTGCAATAATTAAAGGACAACCAGTATACATGTTTGACAGGCAGAAGTAAAACTGTCTTTATTTACAGATGCTACAATTGTCTACATAGAAAATTCCTAAGAATCAACCAAGGAACTCTTGGAACTAAAAGGCAATTATAACAAGGTTGGAATACATAAAACCAATATACAAAAGTCAATTGCTTTCTTATATACCCACGATGAAAAATTGGTATTTGAAATTTAAAACATAATATCATTTAAACTTACACCAAAAAAAGGAAATCTTTCGTATAAGTCAAACAAAATATGTGCAAGATCTGTATGAGGAAAACTGCAAAACTCTGATGTAAGAAATAGAAGATATAAATAAATGGAGAGGTAGTATATGTACATAAGTAGAAAGATTCATATTGTCAAGATGTCAGTTCTTCACAATATGATTGTAGATTTGTTACAATCCCAATCAAAATCCCAACAAGTTATTTTGTGGATATTGATAAACATTCCAAAATTTATAGAGAGAAACAAAAGATCCAGAATAGCCAACACTAGATTGAAGGAGAAAAACAAAGTCAGAGGACTGACTCTGCCTGATTTCAAGACCTAGGATAAAGTTGCAGTATGAAAGACAGTGTAGTACCGGCAAAAAGATAGACAATAGATCTATGGAACAGAGTAGAGGATACAGAAATTGACCCACAGATATGTATTGCCTCTTGATTTTCTACAAATCTGCAAAGCAATTTCATGAAGAAAATAGAGAAAAGCTTCTAAACAAATGATGCTGAAACATTGGATAGCCAATATATGAATAAACTTCATATTTTACAGATAAAAAACTAAAAATGAAAGATAAAACTAAATATACATGTATACTTACAAAGATTACATAAAAACATGATATTTATAATTTGAAGTAAAGATGTATTAGATAAAGCACCAAAAGAGAACATACAAAATAAAAATAAAGATGTATTAGATTTCCAAAATTAGGAATCTTTGTTCTTTATAAGATACTACAAAAAGCATAAAAGGACAAGCCCCAGATTGGGACAAAATACTTGCAAATCACATATTAGGAACATACTTCTATCTATAATAACAAAGAATTCTCAAAGCCCAATAATAAGAAAACAAAGAGCTCAACAGAAATGGTGAGCCAGGCACGGTGGCTCAGGCCTGTAATCCCAGCACTGTGGGAGACTGAGGTGGACAGATCACCTGACCCCAGGGGTTCAAGATCAGCCTGGGTAACATGGCAAAATCACATCTCTACAAAAATACAAAAATTAGCCAGGCATGGTGGCATGCACCTGTAGTCCCTGTTACTTGGGAGGCTGAGGTGGGAGGATGGCTTGAGCCTAGGAGGTGGCGATTGCAGTGAGCCAAGGTGCCACTGCACTCCAGCCTGGGCCACAGAGCCAGACTTGGTCTCAAAAAACAAACAAACAATCAAACAAAAAAAAAGAAATGGTCAAACTATGTGAACAAATATTCATAAAGTGATGTTCAGGAAATGCAATTTTTTATTTTATGTGTTAATCAAGTAAATATTATGAAACATCTATGTGCCAATAATTATGCTACGTACAGAGGATCAGATATGACAGATATGAGAATGGTAAAATGCTGCCCTCATGCTTACAGTCCAGAAGAAATATTGGCACTCATTTAAATACAGTGAGAAAATGAGATGTCTAAATGCACATAATGATGCACTTAAGAAAATGAATGGCCAAACAAACATAAAGCATGCATGAAGAACTGAATTTCATCGGAGAGGATAAGGAAAGACATGCCAAGGAAGTGTCTTTGTGGTGAGAACTGAAAGACAGTGAAGATGTAAGCAGATGAGTCATCTATGATTTGGGTTAGATGAGAGGAGGTTCTAATATCTTGAAGACAGGCTCTCTAAGAAAGTGTAAGATGTTCAAAAAACCTACATAGTGTTCTCTCATCAGCATATTCTTGAAAATCTGTCTGCAAAAAGACATTTTTGTTTTCTGGGGATTTAGCACTCAACACACCTTTTAAAAAATCAGCTAAACGAAAAATCTCTCCTAGAATTTTAACAGTAAATTTTACTTTGTTCAGAACTTTAAAATATCTTATACTTCCCCAATATTTATTATTCCTTTGCTGCCTGGAAATACTTATTTGTACACACTTACCTATCCATATTCATGGTATTTCTATGTATTTACCTATGTATCTATCTATCTATCTATCTATCTATCTATATCATAAATCCTAATTTCTTAGTTTACTTAAATTGAATTGCATCTTATTTTTGTGCTTTTTTGATGTTATATATGTAATTTCTACAAACGACAAAGCACACAGTTCACAGCATACAGGTAATTTTTGGTCAGTGTAAGAATTGCCTAAGGATTGTTTCTAGACCTTTCTTCCCACATCATTTCAATTTTCTTCATTTTCTCATTTGCTCACATATGATTTTCTTCAGATTACTTTGTATTTAAGTAAATATATTTCCATGTTTTGTAAGGTTACCACATACTCAGAGGAACTTTGAACAATGTAGGACAGTTTATGTAAGAAATAATTACATTTAGCTTTATTTAGAGGTGAATATTGTGTTCTGAGTTTTCTTCATCTAGTTTTTTGAAATGTATTTTTCTTAGTTTGTGAATTTATTCAGCACTACTGTAAATGTTTTATATTTTATCATGCATTTTATTTAAAATTGATATAATACGTTAAAAAACTAATATTTTTGACCAGTTTTTATGGCCTTGGTAAATACATGTTTAAATTTTAAATAACTATATTAGATAGGTATTACTGGCTTTGTATTAGGGAAAAAAAACGACCAGAATCTTAATATCATCTATTACAATTCTAGCAATTATTACCTTATAAACTTCAAAACATATTATATAGATTTCAATGTCATTGTACATAAATCATAAATGAGTTTGACAGTTTTCAATATTGAAGTCTTCATGGTGAATCGGCTGATTCTGATAATAGCTGTTGCCATTTATAATTATTTAAATAGTTTGTAATTAGTTTAAATTAGGGTAAACTTCTACTACAGATACAATAATGGAGAATACAAAAATAAAATATATTAAAAACCCAACATGCACTCACACCTTAATATGTTACCAAATTCCTTTTTATTATTATTATTATTACACTTAAAGTCTTAGGGTACCTGTGCACAACATGCAGGATTGTTACATATGTATACATGTGCCATGTTGGTGTGCTGCACCCATTAACTCGTCTTTCAGCATTAGGTATATCTCCTAATGCTATCCCTCCCCACTCCCCCCACCCCACAACAGTCCCCAGTGTGTGATGTTCCCCTTCCTGTGTCCACGTGTTCTCATTGTTCAATTCCCACCTATGGGTGAGAACATGTGGTGTTTGGTTTTTTGTCCTTCCGATAGTTTACTGAGAATAATGGTTTCCAGCTTCATCCATGTCCCTACAAAAGACATGAACTCATCATTTTTTATGGCTGCATAGTATTCCATGGTGTATATGTGCCACATTTTCTTAATCCAGTCTATCATTGTTGGACATTTGGGTTGGTTCCAAGTCTTTGCCATTGTGAATAGTGCTGCAATAAACATATGTGTGCATGTGTCTTTATAGTAGAATGATTTATAATCCTTTGGGTATATACCCAGTAATGAGATGGCTGGGTCAAATGGTATATCTAGTTCTAGATCCCTGAGGAATCACCACACTGTCTTCCACAATGGTTGAACTAGTTTACAGTCCCACCAACAGTGTAAAAGTGTTCCTATTTCTCCACATCCTCTCCAGCACCTGTTGTTTCCTGACTTTTTAATGATCACCATTCTAACTGGTGTGAGATGGTATCTCATTGTGGTTTTGATTTGCATTTCTCTGATGGCCAGTGATGGTGAGCATTTTTTCATGTGTTTTTTGGCTGCATAAATGTCTTCTTTTGAGAAGTGTCTGTTCATGTCCTTCACCCACTTTTTGATGGGGTTGTTTGTTTTTTTCTTGTAAATTTGTTGGAGTTCATTGTAGATTCTGGATATTAGCCCTTTGTCAGATGAGTAGGTTGCAAAAATTTTCTCCCATTCTGTAGGTTGCCTGTTCACTCTGATGGTGGTTTATTTTGCTGTGCAGAAGCCCTTTAGTTTAATTAGATCCCATTTGTCCATTTTGGCTTTTGTTGCCATTGCTTTTGGTGTTTTAGACATGAAGTCCTTACCCTATGCCTATGTCTTGAATGGTATTGCCTAGGTTTTCTTGTAGGGTTTTTATGGTTTTAGGTCTAACATGTAAGTCTTTATTCCATCTTGAATTAATTTTTGTGTAAGGTGTAAGGAAGGGATCTAGCTTAAGCTTTCTACATATGGCTAGCCAGTTTTCCCAGCACCATTTATTTAATAGGGAATCCTTTCCCCATTGCTTGTTTTTGTCAGCTTTGTCAAAGATCAGATAGTTGTAGATATGTGGCATTATTTCTGAGGGCTCTGTTCTGTTCCATTGATCTACATCTCTGTTTTGGTACCAGTACCATGCTGTTTTGGTTACTGTAGCCTTGTAGTATAGTTTGAAGTCACGTAGCGTGATGCCTCCAGCTTTGTTCTTTTGGCTTAGGATTGACTTGGTGATGCGCGCTCTTTTTTGGTTCCAGATGAACTTTAAGGTAGTTTTTTCCAATTCAGTGAAGAAAGTCATTGGTAGCTTGATGGGGATAGCATTGAATCTATAAATTACCTTGGGCAGTATGGCCATTTTCATGATGTTGATTCTTCCTACCCATGAGCATGGAATGTTCTTCCATTTGTTTGTATCCTCTTTTATTTCCTTGAGCAGTGGTTTGTAATTCTCCTTGAAGAGGTGCTTCACATCCCTTGTAAGTTGGATTCCTAGGTATTTTATTCTCTTTGAAGCAACTGTGAATGGGAGTTCAGTCATGATTTGGCTCTCTGTTTGTCTGTTATTGGTGTATAAGAATGCTTGTGATTTTTGCACACTGATTTTGTATCCTGAGACTTTTCTGAAGTTGCTTATCAGCTTAAGGAGATTTTGGGCTGAGGCGATGGGGTTCTCTAGTTATACAATCATGTCATCTGCAAACAGGGATAATTTAACTTACTCTTAATTGAATGCTGTTTATTTCCTTCTCCTTCCTGATTACCCTGTCCAGAACTTCCAACACTATGTTGAATAGGAGTGGTGAGAGAGGGCATCCCTGTCTTGTGCCAGTTTTCAAAAGGAATGCTTCCAGTTTTTGTCCATTCAGTATGATTTTGGCTGTAGGTTTGTCATAGATAGCTCTTATTATTTTGAGATACATCCCATCAATACCTAATTTATTGAGAGTTTTTAGCATGAAGGGCTGTTGAATTTTGTCAAAGGCCTTTTCTGCATCTATTGAGATAATCATGTGGTTTTCGTCTTTAGTTTGTTTATATGCTGGATTACATTTATTGATTTGTGTATGTTGAACCAGACTTGCATCCCAGGGATGAAGCCCACTTAATCATGGTGGATAAGCTTTTTGATGTGTTGCTGGATTTGGTTTGCCAGTATTTTATTGAGGATTTTTGCATCAATGTTCATCAAGGACATTGGTCTAAAATTCTCTTTTTTGTTGTGTCTCTGCCAGGCTTTGGTATCAGGATGATGCTGGCCTCATAAAATGAGTTAGGGAGGCTTCCCTCTTTTTATATTGATTGGAATAGTTTCAGAAGGAATGGTACCAGCTCCTCCTTGTACCTCTGGTAGAATTCGGCTGTGAATCCATCTGGTCGTGGACTTTTTTTGGTTGGTAAGCTATTAATTATTGCCTGAATTTCAGAGCCTGTTATTGGTCTATTCAGAGATTCAACTTCTTCCTCGTTTAGTCTTGGGAGAGTGTATGTGTTGAGGAATTTATCCATTTCTTCGAGATTTTCTAGTTTATTTGTATAGAGGTGTTTGTAGTATTCTCTGATGGTAGTTTGTATTTCTGTGGGATCAGTGGTGATACCCCCTTTGTCATTTTTTATTGAGTCTATTTGATTCTTCTCTCTTTTCTTCTTTATTAGTCTTGCTAGTGGTCTATCAATTTTGTTGATCTTTTCAAAAAACAAGCTCCTGGATTCATTGATTTTTTGAAGGGTTTTTTGTGTCTCTATTTCCTTCAGTTCTGCTCTGATCTTAGTTATTTCTTGCCTTCTGCTAGCTTTTGAATGTGTTTGCTCTTGCTTCTCTGGTTCTTTTAATTGTGTTGTTAGGGTGTGAATTTTAGATCTTTCCTGCTTTCTCTTGTGGGCATTTAGTGCTATAAATTTCCCTCTACACACTGCTTTGAATGTGTCCCAGAGATTCTGGTATGTTGTGTCTTTGTTTTTGTTGGTTTCAAAGAACATCTTTATTTCTGCCTTCATTTCGATATGTACCCAGTAGTCATTCAGGAGCAGGTTGTTCAGTTTCCATGTAGTTGAGCAGTTTTGAGTGAATTTCTTAATCCTGAGTTCTAGTTTGATTGCACTGTGGTCTGAGAGACAGTTTGTTATATTTTCTGTTCTTTTACATTTGCTGAGGAGTGCTTTACTTCCAACTATGTGGTCAATTTTGGAATAGGTGTGGTGTGGTGCTGAAATGAATGTATATTCTGTTGATTTGGGGTGGAGAGTTCTGTAGATGTCTATTAGGTCCGCTTGGTGCAGAGCTGAGTTCAATTCCTGGATATCCTTTTTAACTTTGTCTCGTTGATCTGTATAATGTTGACAGTGGGGTGTTTAAGTCTCCCATTATTATTGTGTGGGAGTCTAAGTCTCTTTATGGTTCACTAAGGACCTGCTTTATGAATCTGGATGCTCCTGTATTGGGTGCATATATATTTAGGATAGTCAGTTCTTGTTGAATCGATCTCTTCACCATTATGTAATGGCCTTCTTTGTCTCTTTTGATCTTTGTGGTTTAAAAGTCTGTTTTATCAGAGACTAGGATTGCAACCCCTGCCTTTTTTTGTTTTCCATTTGCTTGGTAGATTTTCCTCCATCCCTTTATTTTAAGCCTATGTGTGTCTCTGCATATGAGATGGGTTTCCTGAATACCGCACACTGATGGATCTTGACTCTTTATCCAGTTTGCCAGTCTGTCTTTTAATTGGAGCATTTAGCCTATTTACATTTAAGATTAGTATTGTTATGTGTGAATTTGATCCTTATTCACACATAACAATACTATTTTGCTTATTTTGCTCGTCAGTCGATGCAGTTTCTTCCTAACCTCGATGGACTTTACAATTTGGCGTGTTTTTGCAGTGGCTGGTACCAGTTGTTCCTTTCCATGTTTAGTGCTTCCTTCAGGAGCTCTTTTAGGGCAGGCCTGGTGGTGACAGAATCTCTCAGCATTTGCTTGTCTGTAAAGTATTTTATTTCTCCTTCACTTATGAAGCTTAGTTTGGCTGGATATGAAATGCTGGGTTGAAAATTCTTTCTTTAAGAATGTTGAATATTGGCCCCCACTCTCTTCTGGCTTGTAGAGTTTCTGCCGAGAGATCCGCTGTTAGTCTGATAGATTTCCCTTTGTGGGTAACCCGACCTTTCTCTCTGGCTGCCCTTAACATTTTTTCCTTCATTTCAACTTTGGTGAGTCTGACAATTATGTGTCTTGGAGTTGCTCTTCTCGAGGAGTATCTTTGTGGCGTTCTCTGTATTTCCTGAATTTGAATGTTGGCCTGCCTTGCTAGATTGGGGAAATTCTCCTGGATAATATCCTGCAGAGTGTTTTCCAACTTGGTTCCATTCTCCCCGTCACTTTCAGGTACACCAATCAGACATAGATTTGGTCTTTTCACATAGTCCCATATTTCTTGGAGGCTTTGTTCATTTCTTTTTATTCTTTTTTCTTTAAACTTCTCTTCAACCTTCATTTCATTCATTTCTTCTTCCATCACTGATACCCTTTCTTCCAGTTGATCCCATCGGTTACTGAGGCTTGTGCATTCATCACATAGTTCTCATGCCATGGTTTTCAGCTCTGTCAGGTCCTTTAAGGCCTTCTCTGCATTGGTTATTCTAGTTATCCATTTGTCTAATTTTTTTTCAAAGTTTTTAACTTCTTTGCCATTGGTTCAAACTTCCTCCTTTAGCTTGGAGTAGTTTGATTTTCTGAAGCCTTCCTCTCTCAACTTGTCAAAGTCATTCTCCGTCCAGCTTTGTTCTGTTGCTGGTGAGGGGCTGCATTCCTTTGGAGGAGAAGAGGTGCTCTGATTTTTAGAGTTTCTGGTTTTTCTGCTCTGTTTTTTCCCCATCTTTGTGGTTTTATCTACCTTTGGTCTTTGATGATGGTGACATACAGTTGGGTTTTTGGTGTGGATGTCCTTTCTCTTTGTTAGTTTTCCTTCTAATTGTCAGGACCCTCACCTTCAGGTCTTCTGGAGTTTACTGGAGATCCACTCCAGACTCCGTTTGCCTGGGTATCAGCAGCGGTGGCTGCAGAACAGCGGATATTGGGGAACCGCAAATGCTGCTGCCTGATGGTTCCTCTGGAAGTTTGGTCTCAGAGGAGTACCCAGCCATGTGAGGTGTCAGTCTGCCCCTACTGGGGGGTGCCTCCCAGTTAGGCTACTCGGGGGTCAGGAACCCACTTGAGAAGGCAGTCTGCCCATTCTCGGATCTCACGCTGCGTGCTAGGACAACCACTACTCTCTTCAAAGCTGTCAGACAGGGACATTTAAGTCTGCAGAGGTTATTGCTGTCTTTTGTTTGTCTGTGCCCTGCCCCCAGAGGTGGAGCCTACAGAAGCAGGCAGGCCTCCTTGAGCTGTGGTGGGCTCCACCCAGTTCGAGCTTCAGGGCCACTTTGTTTACCTACTCAAGCCTGAGCAATGGTGGGCACCCCTCCCCCATCCTAGCTGCTGCCTTGCAGTTTGATCTCAGACTGCTGTGCTAGCAAATGAGCGAGGCTCCGTGAGCGTAGGACCCTCCAAGCCATGTGTGGGATATAATCTCCTGGTGTGCCGTTTGTTAAGTCCATTGGAAAAGTGCAGTATTAGGGTGGGAGTGACCCGATTTTCCAGGTGCCGTCTGTCATCCCTTTCTTTGACTAGGAAAGGGAATTCCCTGACCCCTTGTGCTTCCCGGGTGAGGTGATGCCTCACCCTGCTTCGGCTCAGGCACGGTGTGCTGCACCCACTGTCCTGCACCCACTATCTGGCAATTCCCGGTGAGAGGAACCCAGTACCTCAGTTGGAAATGCAGAAATCACCCGTCTTCTGCATCGCTCACGCTGGGAGCTGTAGATTGGAGCTGCTCCTATTCGGCCATCTTCTATATTACCAAATTCTTTCGTGGCCTATTTTTATTTCATTGTTAAATGTATCAGAAAAAAATAACTAATGGGTATTAGGGCTTAATACCTGTGTGACAAAATAATCTGTCCAAAAAAAAAAAATGACATGAGTTTACCTGTATAACAAGCCTGCGCATATACCAATGTAATATATTGATACTGTATATTAATTCCAAACTTAAAAGTGTGTATACATACTTTTAATACTTCCACAGATAGAAAGGGAGACAAGAGTGAGAAATTCCTCTGATATGATGAAGTTTATATTATTCAAATATGAACATTGACATGTTCCGTATTTTAAGATTTCTTCCTGTTTGAGGTCTTATATTTTGGAAAAAGTTATCTGGTTAGGAAACATACTAGATTTTTTTAGTGTTTACTGTTTTACTGAGGAACTTAATGACATTGAATGAATAACAGTGAATCCTTCAGGAGACTGAGGCGGGAGGATCATTTGAGTCTGGGAGTTAGAGTTTGCAGTGAGCCAAGATTGAGCCACTGCATTCCAGCTTGGGCAATAGAGTGAGATCCTGTCTTAAAAAAAAGAAAAAAGGGCATCTTTTCAGTTTTGCTTATTACATGATATTTTCAAACACTGTGTTAATCAAGGAATACTTTTGGAGTCATTACTTATTTTAGACCATTAGAAAAGATTAATTGCTTTTCATTTCAATATCAGCCATCTGGACGTTAGCTAGTTTGCATTTAAAATAATTTTTCTATGGGACAGTTAAGCCCAGGAAGTAATGTACTATGATAGCAATAAAATGTGTCCCTATATCTTTTAGCTATACTTGTATATTATTGTGCTAAAGGTGTTATTAATGGATGAAGACTCTTCTTTTCTCTACAATGACTTACATTACAACTTTCATGAGATCATACTTGCCATGTGTCATAATTATTTTAATTTATAATAAAGCTCTCTTTCTAATCAGTGACACATGGCAATAAGTAAAAGGACATTCAAATGAGTTAGCCATTATTTACTGCTTTTCTGTTCTAAATAATCAGTTACTTCTCAACTTTTCAAGCTGGGCCTCTATCTCAAACTCTACCATACTGGCATAGATAGATGGACGTGCTTTTCAAATTAAAGTTATGGAACATCAAGTAGGAAGTATTTTGTGAGTGTAAAAACCAACCTGACTGATGTTGAAGTTTTTATGAGTTAATTGTAACATATTTAAAATGCAAATATGGAAATTATTGCTTATAATGTAAATTTTATAACTTTTATATTTATAAAATATTGCTGGGTTTATAATAGGAATTGTATCAAAGCTATTTATTTGTGATAAATTTACATCTTTAATATATTTTTGAATCTTTAATACACAAACATGTTATAGCTCTTCATTTCTTAATAGATTTTTTGACTTCTTTCATCTGTGTTTTGTAGTTTTCATCAAACAAGTTCTGTGCATGTTTTGTTAGATTTCTACCTAACAATTTATTATTGAGCAATTGTAATTAATATTCTATTTTTAAATTATGTCTGCATATGTGTATTTCTGTAATATAGAAATTAATTACTTATGTTTATCTTGTAGCTTGCAAACTTTGTGAACTTACAAGCTTTCATGGTTTTTTTTTTTTGGTAGGTTCTTGGGATTTTATGTATATACAATTATGTTATCTGCAAATGGGAAGAATTTTATTCTTTTTAAATTGTATCATTTTTAATCCGTATGACTTTACTCTTTTCTTGCCTTTTTGCCCTGGTTAGAACTTCTAGCACCCTGTTGAATAAGATCTGTGAGAACTGTTGTTCTTGCATTGTTCCCCATAATAAGAGGAAACATTCATCTGTCCCTATTAAGGATGACATTCACTGGATGCTTTTTGTATTTTTATCTTGCTTTATTGCCCTGGCCACAATTTCCATACAATGTTGAATAGAATGGGTGAGAGCAGGCATCTTCGTATTGTCTCTGATATTTCTGGAAAAGTATTCAGGCTTTAACTATTAAGTATAATAGCAGCAGTGGGTTATTCAGAGATGCCCTTTATCAGGTTGAGAAATGTTGCTTCTTCTCCCAGATTGTTCATTGTTTTTATTATAAAAATGTGTTAGATTTGGTCAAATGCTTTTTCTGTATATCTATTTGTATGATCATTTGATTTTTGTTTTTCATTCCATTGATGTGATATATTATTTCAGGATGTTTAATCAACTGTGCATTCTTGGGGTAAATCTCACTAAGTTATAATGTATATTTTTAATATGCTGCTAGATTTGGTTTGTTAATATTTATTAACGATTTTTGCATCTGTATTCAGGAGATAATTTTCTGTAGCTTTTTGTTCTTGTGATGTCTTTCTCTGGTTTTTGTATCATGGTAAAGCAGGCCTTATAAAATTAGTTGGGAAATATTCTCTCCTCTTCTGTGTTTTGGAAGAGTTTGTACAAACTCTCCTTTTAAAAAAATGGATAGAATCCAATAGTCTAGACCTATATTTTACTTTGTGGGTAATATTTTATTACTATTTTAATCACTTCACTTGTTATAGGTATATTTAAATTGTCTATTTTTGTTGATATAATTTTATGGATATAGTTTGTATCTTATAAGGTCTATAATAATGTCCCTTATTTCTTTCCTTTTTTCCTTTCTTCCTTCTTCCTTTCAAATGTATACCTTCTTTTTTGTTAATTAGAAAATATCTGGCAACACTGGGTCCACATTCTCACAGTCTACAGATGACTTAAGTGATAAAGAACTTCCTTTATTTGTTGTGGTATACACATACCAGTTTACCACTGTCCCCACCACCCTTGTCTCCTGACACTAAGATAATCTCCCAGAGCCATCTCTCAGGTATATCCACCCATGCTCACATATGCTGCCAGCCTGGTCACTAAAAGATCTTGGAGTTGCCCAGCTCCAGATCAACAGGTATGTTTGGGAGGAGATTGTAAAGGGCTACACAGGTCCAGGGAGCCAACTCTCCTCACAGAGAAAAGAAGTCCTTGCAGTCACAGGCATTGAACTTCAAGGTTGCTGTCAGTGGACAGGCCCAACATCATCTCCTACCATCCCAGGAAACTAGAGATGCTCAGCCACAAGGCATAGCAGAGGCAAAAAGAAAGCAGATGTGGCTGATGGAAAAGCTCCTCAATCTTGCAGGACACTATCAAGTGAGTTGATTTCCATTTAATGTTGGTGAGGAAAATCCTTGGGAGTAATACAGTGTGATTTTCTTTCCCAGAGATGTGTAGAGGGAAGGGGTCTCTAGAGGTGTTTCAGAGATTACTTATAGCAACAGTGCTTCAATCCAGAACGGCTGGGCATATGCCCTGGGGAAAAGCTGGTTATCCTCATTGGCTTGTCCTCTCCCACAACCAGTTCAGTGGGGTGAGTGTCCATCAGTTTTGGTGGGAATGAATCAGGGAGAGAATAGATAAGAAAGAAATGTGAGGAGACAAAATAGCAATGACCACAAATGGGAATGGATCCACTATTCCCTAGATCTGGGATACTGGAGGAAAATCTAAATTAGAGATAAGACTACAATGTGATTCCTGAAGAACCAGGATTAACACCTACCTGAAGAGGACCCTCCTTATGATGCTGATGAGAGATTGGCACAGAAATCAGAACCTGCATCCCAGAGGCCCTCCCTGAGGAACTCAGCCATGGGGAGAGTTAATAGAGAGCACCCACCTGCCCCAGCATGGCCGTCACAACAACTCTGTCTTGGGAAGTGAGGTTTCTTATGAAATAAGGAGAAATGAGGAAAGCATCTCCTAGAACGCTGAGGAAGAAAGACAGGGATTTGTCCATTAGGCCCATTTATGTCTGAGGACACAATACAGACCACACAATAACTAACTCAAACTTAATTAGATAATTCATAAAAATAATTCCTGAGTAAAAAGAAACTGATTCAGGGATGCCTGAACTGGAAAGGAAGACAGGGACTTGGGGCCAGGGCTGAGGCAGGAAGAAGCCAATGTACCCAAACCCTGCTTGCTGGCCTCCCGAGAGGAGCAGAACCCTGGAGGTGGTAGACTCAGGCCAGAGGCCTTCTACTGGCAAACCTCATGGATAAGAAGTGTTGTTAGCTGTGGAACTTTGATAGCAAAGAATTCCATTTGGACATGGCACAGAAGGGAAGAGGGACCACATAGCTGTCCATCAAAGCAGGGATGCACAGGATAGAGGGCCAAGCATACTCAGCCATTGCCCCTATGTGGACCCTAAGACACTGCTCGCTCCTTAAGTCAGTCACAGCATCTGAAGACATCAAAACCAGATTGGGCAGGGCTGAGTCACAGCTGCCTAAGGGTAAGCGAAGAGAGAAAAACAGCCCTTTGACCCAGACCAGCCAGAGGATCCCAAGGAGGGAGAAACCAACACCCAAAGTCTGACTCTTGTTTGGTCATCTATCATTTCAACTGATCCTGAAGGGAAGAAAGAAACCCCTCACCAGGGGAAAATAGCCTAGGTGCTGAGCCAAGATGAAGAGTGGCAACCCCAAGCTGGTTCCCCTCCCTCTTAGTGTTGTCTCTGTGGAGCATTGCTGTTGGTATCATGCTTGTTCCCTAGTAGATTCAGAACTCTCCTGGTCTTCAACTGTCCCTTCTTGCCTTTGGGTTCAGATTTTTTCTAGAACTCTTTCTTTTTTGTCATAGTTTACAAATTCTGTCTTCCTCTTCCTCCCTCGCCTGGTCCTCTTCCAGGCATTTGAAGATGATGTTGCACTGCTAGATGAGAATCACAAGCTCCTGCATTTGCATCATCTACCACCCCAGTCTTCCTTGATCTAGTCTTTTTCTGGCTTATGGAGAAGGCATTGGACTCCCACCACACCAGAATGTGCTTCTTGTGGATGATATATAGAAAAGCTTGGACTCCAAACACAAGTCTGTCAGCATGGTATCCTAGCCTTTGTCATTGACTCCATCAGGAAGCTTCTCTTCAGCAGAAACTCATAGTGTTTGAGAGAGAATCCATAGTGTTTGAGAGAGAATCCATCTAGCACTTGGTAGTGTCCACCTCTTTGTGGATGTCTCCTTCATAAGTATACTGGTCAGTCTAAACCTTGCATTTGGTAAGGAGGAAGTCATGCCCTTGAAAGGGCAGCTTTATTGGCTTGGATCCCTTCGTGACTTTTGTTGCGATTGAGATGTTTCAGGTGATACCTTCTGCTTAAAAAGATTGTCCTTGCTGGAAAGCTTTACCTGACGTCCAGGGACCAGGTTCCAGATTCCAGAGGAAGCACCACTGCACTAGGGTTGCCAGGAGCATGGATGACAGGATCTGAGGAGGTATTTGGCATAGCTAAAGGCTCCAGATGGAGGTTTCAGATGACAGGCTGTCCGTACTGAGTGTTGGTGACAATGTGGCCAAGGCCAACTCTGGATGCAAGGGGCAGGAGATGTGAAGAGTGAGCAAGGTGGTGGGATGCTTCTTTGTTTTGAGGCTGCTGGTGAACATGATGTGGTACTAGGAGTGCGGGTACTTGGATATGGACTCCAAGTGAGGCAGGACAGAGCTGTTGGACAGGCTGAGTGCAGCTGGGACCTCTTCCTCCTCAAGGGGATTATAGGGCTGCTGGGCTCTGTTGCATCTCTTCTTCCATGCCTTTATCTTCTACTCAGCTGCTGTCCTGGCTTGTTGCCCAGAGTTGCTGCCCGGTGGGAGGGTAGCTGTCCGCTTTGGCTCTGCCTGCACCAATGTGATCAATAGGGGAAGGGGAAGAGGGTCCTTCCTGGGGACTGGCATCCTCTCTGACTGTATGGGCATTCTTCCCAGCTTAGGGATGAGCGTTCACTCAGGCTTCCATTCACTAGGTTGCTGCTGGCATCCTAGTTCACCAAGTTTTTATGCTGCAGACTACACCAGAACTGGGGTGTGGGAGTGGAGTGTATGCTGGGACTGTGCTCTCAGGAGTTTTTGCATGGTGTGTCTTGATTGTCATTTATTTGAAACCATTTTGTAATTTCCTTCTTGATTTTCTTTTTAACTCCTTTCTGATTTAGGAGTAAAATTAATTTGTGCTTTTCTCATTTTTTTTCTGTTATTGACTCTAATTTTCTACCATTGAGGTAAGATTATATACAGTATATGATTTCTATCATTTTAAACTCATTGAGATTTGTTTTAGGGCTTAGTATATGGTCTATCCTGGACAATATTCTACAGACGTGTGGTAGTACTAATTGTCATGGCTCATTTAATTTCTGTCCATAACTTGCCCAAGCTGTTAAGCTTCATTAATTGCTGGAAGACTGCTCCATTTTCAACACTTCCTGGATCCAGGTTCACGTAAAGGAACAGTTCCTGAGGTCAATGTTAGATATTTGTTCTGACCCCAGAAGGGCTCCTCCTAGCCATTTCCCCTCCCTGGCTCTCTTCAGCAAACTAGCCCAAAAATTTCCTGGTTGCTGCTCCCCACCATTCAAGACCTTTGCTGTTTTGAGAGCACCCTTAATCTTTAGCTTGCCCATGTTTTTTTGCAAATGAAGTTAGTTCCTCTGGGAAGTGATGAGGGGCTATGTGCTTTACAGCCTGCTTCCCTCTGCAGAGCAGGTTCACTGTGCATTGGTTACTATTTCAGCCCACTCCATCTTGGGTTGTACTTTTCCTACTTGCCTGAGTCTGGTGAAACAGAGCATTGTACATACAAGTTACATGAATCAGTATTATTATTTACAGAGGGGCAGCAAGGGGCAATAGAAACCTAGGATTCGTGATGAGCAGATCCCCCAAGGCTCACGAAAGCTGCACAGGTAGATGAAGTCTCATCTATACTTGCTGTAGTTGCATGACAGCTGAAGGACCCCAGAAAGCAGCCCACCCTGGGTTTTATACCCTGAAGATTACTTGACCTGCAGGGCTAAAGCCTTGAAGCACATGCTGTTCTGGGAGGGCTGGGAACAGAGCCCTGATTGTTCTAACCAGTTCCTCCTTGTCTCAGGATATTGCATTTAATACAATAATTCTTGAGAAGTACAAGTGAGAAAAGTGGGAGAACTGATTTGGTCCCAGATCACCTGGAGAAATGTCCTGCACTCCCTCCAGGCAAAATCTCTGAACCAAGGCACTGGAGCTGGATATGGGTACAATGGCATACTTGTCTTTGAGTAACATCTCTTTTCTAGGAATTGAACTTTCAGTGGATGCCTGAGATCTTATTTAATTACTTCACCTGGTATGGGATCACTGCCTTACAAGTCAGGGCAAGAATGTATTCTTAGTAGTTCAATGCCCAAGGTAGAGTCTCTATTCTACCAATGACTCCTAAAGAAAATATTGTAACCCCTCCCTCTTGACTGCACTCACTGAGATCATACATAGGCTAGACAACAGACAGCTGGGTGGAGGATGAAGAATGCTGAATAATAAATTTCCTCCCAGAAAGACAGCCCTCTGACTTGGGACTTGAAACTCTAAGGATATGGAGCCCTGTGTTCTTAGCTGCACAAGTCAGAAACAGAATTTCTTCCTCACTTAGCTGAGTGTAAATATTAGAAGCTCTTGCTTTTCTTACTGAATTTGTATGGATTTTCTTAAATGTTTATTACTCTGATGTAAGACCATTTTCAGAGTCTCTCTCTCTCTCTCTCTCTCCACACACACACACACACAACACACACACACAGAGTTATCATTTTCATTAGGTAGTAAGCCTTCAAAGTTTCTCATTCTTTCATGCTAGCAGTAGATTCTGTCCGTAATTTGTCTGTCTGTTTGTTGGTTAGTTGGTTGGTTGGCTGGTTTTTCTAGACTTAGTGGAATGAATAGAGGAAAGGGTGTCCACTTCCCAGAGGCAGAGTCCTCAGATTTGTTTTGATTTTGACATGGTCTCGTGTATCGCTCTTGTTTAGACCTTCTGATGTTCCTTCTTAGAAAGTTGTTCACTATCCAAAGATTAATACTAAATATTTTATTTAATTTCTGTACAAACTTTGATAAAGTTTTTATTTGAAAATATTTTATATCAATACAGATCCAACTTAGTTCTTATGTTTCTAGTTTTCCCCTATATTATTTATTGAATAATCCGTATTTTCCTCTTTAACTTGAAATGCCAAACTAATTGCATATTAAATTAAATATTAAAGTAGGCTTCTTATTATCTTTCATTATTTGTTCTATATCACCATGCATCTACACCAGTATAAGATTTAATTAGATAATATGTGAAAATAGTCAGTTGCTCACTTGAATAGGTCTATTTATCTTTAAATATTCTTATTCAGAATCATTCTGAGTTTTATAATTAAGTTGTCTGCCAAATAGGATCATAATAAATTTTATAGTTACTACTTGGAGTAGTGAAATATTTTAATACTGAATTTTTTCTATTCAAAATCAAGGTATGACATTCTATACTGATATAATTTCTTTTATGCCTTTTTTAGGGAAATATAAACTTCTTATATAAAATTATATAAAATTGACCCAGAGGTGATTCATACTGATTAAAAATTATGACACTTCATTTTCATAATAGAAACTCATTTCAATTCTACATCCATAAAACTTTAAATTAATAGAAATTTCTATTATAACTATGATATTTTCTTCATAAGAAAGCCATTAATTTATTCGAATAATAATAATTCATATTACTTCTAACAATATTTTGATAGTTCACATGACTACTCCAGTTATTCTATCACTAACCATGAATAAATATTTATTTTTTAATGTGAAAAATTTATAACGTTCATTTCTCTAATCTGTGTTGACTGTAATATCCGGAACAATGCTACACAATAATAATGAGAGCAGTTTTATCTGCTGCTCAATAATGTTTGCACATGTATCAGATACTGTGCCACTTGCAGGTTATTGAATGATGAACATATGAGATGTGGCAGCATCATAAATGTTGCATAAATAACAATGTATAAATATATTTCAATAACATTTTATCAAAATACTGAATTTAATTAAATCTATTTTTGGCATCTGTTTAAATGATTATTTTTTACTTATGACCAAATAAACTGAAAAATATATACAGATTTCTAAATGTTAAACAATTCTTGAGTTATTGGTGCAAATTCTACTTGGTTATAGTAGGCTGTTAATTATTTTTCTGCTGTATTGTTTTTGCTGGTATTTTATGTAGAATTTTACTATTGATGTTCATAAATAATATTTGGCTATAATGTGGCACACTATGCTTTATTCCAGTTTTGAACATTTAGTAGTAATAGACTTGTTAATAACTTTGCTTTGTATTTCTCATAAAAACTTAATTCCTTTTTTAAAATCTGTTTGGTTTTCTTCAGTTTCATATGCTAATTGCCATACTCAGTACGTTTTTAGGCACTCAATAAAGGTTTGCTGCATATACTTGCAAATTTTGGGGTCCTTGCTTTGTCCGCTTTTAAAGTTATTTTCACTGTAAAATGCTAAGTGAATTAGGCTGCATATAGAAAATAGGATATTATGCAAACTTTACAAATCATGCATGAAAATGAAATTTAATAATATGATACAATTCTTATTTTACACACATAAATAAAAATTGAAAACTGCGTAGTGACAGAAATTTGATATAAACTATTCACAAGTTTTAGGCAAGTATATGTACTTGAAGAAAAATTAATCAACCAGAATATAATATGCACTATCTTTGAATTTGTCAATGATATCAATTTTATTTATAATATTGTCTATCACATATTGAATGTTCTATGTCAGGACATTTCTACCAGCAAAAATTCATAGTTCTCAATCTGAAAATTATTTATTTGAGATAAAATATCCTTTTTGTTATTTGATATAGTGCTTGATAGTAAATATGACTTTTTTTTTTTTTTTTTTTTTTTTTGAGACGGCGTCTCACTCTTTCTCCCAGGCTGGAGTGCAGTGGTGGGATCTCGGCTCACTGCAAGCTCCTCCTCCTTGGTTCACGCCATTCTCCTGCCTCAGCCTCCCGAGTAGCTGGGACTACAGGCGCCCGCCACCATGCCTGGCTAATTTTTTGTATTTTTAGTAGAGACGGGGTTTCACCGTGTTAGCCAGGATGGTCTTGATCTCACCTCGTGATCTGCCTGTGACTTTTTAATTAAACTCATCTGGCCAGAGATTATGGCATTAATAATTGCTAGTTGTCCTGTATATCAAGCCAAGCCTTATTCTAAGTACTACTTGTGAAATTTATCGTTTCACAACATTCTGACAACTCTGCAAAGGAAACATTTTAAAGGATAGTTTATTAAAAATTGGATTCATTCAGTTGATAAAATTATAAAGTCGTAACATTGAGACTTTATCCTGTGCCATGTAACTCCAAAATCCTTGTTTTATAGTACTAATCTCACTTTTCTTTATCCTTTTTTTGTAAAAGTAAAATGTTTTCCTTTATTTAGTATGAATTAAATATGGTCCTATGTATATACAATTTACTGTTACCTTTATGCTTCCAAAATTGATTATTTGAAAGGTATATTATTAATTGTTTTATTATTACTATTATTATTTCATTTGATAGAGTAGAAGGTGTAATAAGAATTAATAAGTAAAAATATTTTGTTACTGATGTACTATTACCACAACTGAAACACTGCAAATTTGACTTCTCTAGCAAAGGCAAATGTTTTCAGAATATAGAATGATGAGTGTTAAAATGGTTACTTGTGACTGTTCAGAGTTTAAACTGCAGCCCTTAAAATATAATCTGGATTTTTATGATTGCTTTTTTGTTATCCTTCCTGTCCCTTTCATAGTCTTTCATTAGTCAGCCCCAAAGGTGATTCATACTGATTAAAAATTATGACACTTCATTTTCATAATAGAAACTCATTTCAATTCTACATCCATAAAACTTTAAATTAATAGAAAAATTTTCAGTAAAAAGCATGTCATCAAAAAAAGAATGCTTAACATATCTGAGCTGACAGTCAAACCACAAACAAAGAAATTTCTAAGAGGCTCATATTCTGACCACAGATTCGTATGCTTTGAAATTCAGTTATATATTATATAGAAATACTGTTTTCTGATTTCTTCATGTCCTGAAGACCTTGGCTTGTACCCTCTTTCATTTACAAATGAGAAGAAATTGTCTTGAATTCTTCCCTGATAAGTATAGCAAATTTGAGAATGATTGGTCATCTGTGCAAGTCCCATTTTTACTCAGCTGTAAGTCCTAAAGGCTTGAAATCAGAGTCAGGTTCAGATCTATCACATCGTTACTAATGAAAACAAAATTTCTCTGAATTTGAGACCAAACTTCACTAATTCAAATATAAAATGCCTTGAATTTTCTAAGCTTTGCAACCAGTATATTAGGCTATTGCCTTTTATTGCTTGTATATGAAGCTGCAGCCTTCCTTTCTATGACATCCCAAGTCCCATTGTGTAGAGAAAATCAATGTTCATAGGCATTCTTAATTATTTTCTTTCCTTGGAAGGTAAACTTAGTGATGCTGTCTTTAAGAGGTTTAATAGCGTTGTACTAACACATAAGTTTGAGTGCAAGATGGCTTGCAGTAACAGTGTTGGTTTTGCTGTTTGTTTGTCTTTGGAAATTGAACATATATCCTCAATGGACAATTTCCCCATATATAAAATTAGTTTTTTCATCTAATAGTAAGATATTTGTGAAGATTAAATCAGTCACTAGGTTAAGATGCTTAGAGCAGTGCCTGACTCGTGGTAGTTCTTAATATATATGCAGTGGATTAAAAAAAATATGTACTCATATTATTTGATGATCCTTTGAAAATTAGGATAAATTAAAAGAGAGGAGTATCTAGTCAAATCATCATCAAACTGTTGAAATCAATAGACAAAAAGAGACTCTGGCAGACAGCAAGAAAAAAGTATTCATAACATACAGCAGATCCTCAATAAGATAAACAGCTGAATTATTTTCAGAAAACATGGAGGCCAAAATGGAGATGAATGACATATTAAAAAATGCTGAAATAAGAAGACCTTCAATGAAAAATTATGTTTCCAAAAGCTATTTTTCAAAATTAAAGGTAAATTAATATTCCCAAATAAACAAAACTGAGATATCACACTGCTGGCAAACAAGAATACTTTGGGAATAAACAATGCTGGCCAAAAAGAATACTTTGGGAATAAGCAAAAGGATAATAAGCAATAACTCAAATAAAGAAAGAAAAAAAGAAAGGAAGAAAGACCAGCAAAGGTAATTGCATATGTATATGTAAAAGACAACAGGAAAGCACTTCTACTTGTAACTCCTTTTCTTCTGATTCTAAGACAACTGCATTTGGTGATAATTATAAACCTGTGCTTATGGGTTTATTATGTACGCATAAATATGTAATTTCTTAGACAATAAATAAAGAACAGGAGAAAACAGCTATATTTGAACAAAAGCTGTTACACTATTGAAATTAAGTTGGTATTAATTTGAACTAGGATTTTAAATTGTTAATTATAATTCTCATGGATAACCATTAAGAATATAACTCAAAAATCTTGTGAAATAAATTCAGATTAAATATTTTTTTAACACATACAGAAATAAAGCACTAATGGAGGAAGAAGTTACCAGAAAAAGATACCAGATGTTAAGGAAGAAAATAGGCATATAAAATAAAAATCTTACCTAATCAGTAATTATACTAAATGTAATTGAATTAATCACTCCTATCGAAAGACAGAGATTTGCACAAGGATAAACATAGTATAGTTTTCAATAGTAGACAATTCATAGACATATAGATCACTAGGACAGAATTAAAAGCCCAGAATTGACATACATATTTATAGGTACTTGGTTTTTGACAAGGCTGCCAACAAAATATATTTTAGTAAGGTTACTTTTTCCTATCAATAGTGATAAAGCAATTGGATATTTATATGGGATAAAATACACAAACCCCAAGTCTACCTTACACCATATAGAAAAGTTAATTTGAGATTGAATAGAGATTTAAGCCTGTTAATATGATTAATGTTAAAGCTGAAACAATAAAACATTCTAGAATGTTTGTAAATACATTTATAAATACATTTAGAGGAACATCTATATGACTTTGCAGTACCAAAGTATTTTTACAATGGTAATGCACATAAAATAATACTCATACAAAAGAAATTTATAATGTACGTTAATTGAAGTGGAGATTATTTGTCAATCAGATTATTCATCAAATGAATAGGTGATTCTGAGAGAGAGAAGGTATTTTGGATACACGCATATGAAAATGATTTGTATTCAGAATATATAAAGAATACTAGAAATCAACTAAAAAGCTAAATAACACAATTTAAAAATGGGTCAAAGTTTTCTTCAAAGCACTTCACAGATGAGTTTAAATAATAAATCAGCATAGGTAGAAGGTGCAGCAAAGGATACACATGTGAAGCACGCAGACCTGGTTGAGCCTTGCAGACTGATCTGTGTATGAGCTCTGGCTAATAATTTTAGTTAAAATGGAAATTCTGGAAAAAAACTGACTGAAATTAACCCAAGCAAAATGTCTTTGCGTTTTTTATTTCATAGATTTCAACTTGTGTCCCATAGTGCTATTAGGCATACTACTAATGTTTTTTCCTCATTCTCCCCTCCATGCTCAGTCAGAGTGATGTCCTTGGAATTACCTTTTATCTTTTCTTCTATAAACAACTTAAACTTATCTTTTCTTCTATAAACAACATAAAGTTTTATTTCTAGAAAGCTTTCCTTGAATACAGTCTGATTTGGGCATACATCTATTCTGTTCCCATATGACTATGCACATTTCTTTATCATGACATTTATCTCACTATGAAATAAATATTCATGAACATTTCCATGTCTTCTATTAGATACAGAGTTGATTGAAGGAAACACCCGGCACCATATGGTCCTTTGTGGGTATGAAGTTAAAATGTTTGTGATTTTTTTTTGGAATGAATTTATGGTAATTAGGTAAAAATACAAATACTATGTATTTGATGGAATGGCTGATCAGTAAATAGATTTGTTATCTGTGCAGTGAGAAAATGAGCGTATTGACTAAGTTTAAAAGATAATGTAAGATCAACTTTAGTCTTATCACAGACAGTGATTAAATAGTAGACCTAAAAGTGTATATTTAGAGCAAAAAAATTGCTAATATTTAATCACCCACTATTTACCACATTGGGCTGTTTATCAATATTATAAAAGGAAGTTAATATTACTCAATATGAAATCTTATTTAATCAAAATATGTAAAGGTGGGCACAGAAATTAGGCTTTGTCAGCTCAAATGAACCACTAGCCACATAGTTCTTGTCTAAAGGTGGTATATAATTAACAACATAACATTCAGCACAAATCAATAAAAGATCATTCAGATTTCCTTATCATAACAATATAAGAAGTGGTGAGGTTTCTAACAGCATATTAGACAGTCTCCCTACCCTCAGTGTTTCTCTACCTCAGACCTCTGTGAACATTTCGACTGAATTAAAATCTATTTGTCAGGGAGCAGTTTTAGGAACACTTCAACCCCCCAAGAGAACCTTTTTTGTTGGTAATGTTGTTCCCTTAGAGAAAGTGTGTCTCTCTTTGAGCCTTACTTCCGAAGACCAATTACCTAAACAACATTACTATCCTATCTTTAAGCGCATCTTACCTTGAGCCTTTATGTAGACTGTGCAAATTTAATTATATACTAGATTCAATTATTTATATCCCTCACATAAACACTGTAAAATAGCTCTCCTGTTTATTTTTATTCATCTTTCTGCACAGTAAACTCCATTATAGTTATGGTTTGCTCTAAAGCCGTGTTTAATAGGACAATCAGGTCACCTCATATTCAGACATATGTAATCATCTTTTATGGGTGACTGGTCACAAATTTAATGAATTTACATGAATGTTGTGCATGGTTTCCTACAGAGAATGGTCATGCCCTCTCAATTGTCTAGAAGTACATCTAATTGTCATGCATTGCTACACATATGCTTTTTTTTTTTCATAAAAATCGATAATACCCTCTGTGGGATCTTGGATTTGAGTTTCAATATGTTTAGGCAATAATTGTCTGTGTAGTTGAATTATGCAAAGAAGTAAACAATTTCTGAATCAATCAACACCTAGATTGCTGGTCTAGTTGTTTATTGATTTTTGAGCCATTTTCCCTAAGTCAAAACAAAAATATTAAAAAATAATTGTTATTCTGATAATATTCCCAGGGCAAATTTACTCTCATGTCATTGTCTTACAAAAGTCAAATACGTTTGATAGATGTATCTCACTCTTGCTCGTTTTATAATTTTTCATGTTTCATATGCAGAAATCTACACATATCATACATATTTCATAAATGACACTCTATAACCTTTTGGGAAACACACACAATTAGGATGATATCTTCTAAAGGATACCTATTTTCCTGCTTTCATTTTGTGGCATGTAAGATAAATGGGATAGCACCTTGCACATCATGTGTGGCATCTACAATTCCACTATTAACCATATATATGACGCAAGTGCACAGAAATCTAAGGAACATTAAACATTTAATTTTCTAAAGTTATGTAGGACCTTCTTAAGTTATAGCAATGCTAAAAAATAAAGTATAATCACAGGTATAAATACACATATATGTATACATTTTAAAAGTAATCATCTCTAAACTCTTTCAACCCAGGTAACAATGTGAGTTTGGTGAACTCTGAGCATATTGTAAAGGAAGTCCGGTAAGAGATAAAAGATAGAAGCCCAGGAAACATTTAAAAAAAAAAAAAGCTGAGTTAAATACTAATTATTTCACTATTCAATGTCTATAACAATTTAATATGCTAACATCTATTGGAATTAACTGAACATAAAGAAAAGCATAAAGGAAGCAGAATTTTCCAAACCTGTTTGATTTGGGCACCTCATTTTCAAGGAACACTTCATTGAACCAATTTTTAATAAAACACATTTTAGGATATATTAGCTTTTATAAAGACGTGGTGAGCCAAAATTAGTATGTAGAATCAATTTCCAAAAATTACACAAATTAAGATGTGCTCAAATTTTAAAAATCAGCATTAAGTATTTTAGTATTGTATTACTAATGCTTTAAAAGAAATTTGAGATTGCCTAAATTGACTCCTTTATTATTTGTAGAGATGAGAAAAAAAGATGTTCAGAATGGTTATGTGGGTTCTTACAGCCATACATTTATTTAATGGCAGAAGTAGTTCTATGACCAAGTTTATTGGAGATGGCAAAGAATCAAAGCAACAGTTTGGCAATTTACAATGCAAAGTATGCCAAGCCCAGCTGATTGAGTGCAGGAGACCTATTTATGCAGAGAAAAATATAGAAAATAGAGTTAATGATTACAGTGAATAGGAGAGTGAGAGAAGGTAAGAGAGTTAAAGACATACATTTCACAGAAAAATTTTTATTTTTCTATGAGAGCCAAAGGACTTATATAATCCAAAATGAATGTTAAAGGTATGATAAACAGCAAAATGAAAGCAGACAAACCTAGGTAGAATCCAGGTTACTTTGACAAGTAAAATAAACTCACTGATTTCCATTTTTTTTTTGATAAAATATAACTATTATATCACGTAGTTATTATGATATAACTATTATATCACATAGATTAAATACAATAAGCCAAACCTTTGGCATATGACAGGTGGCTAATAATAAGTTGTTATTATAGGTATTGTATAGCATTTAGCACTAACAGACAATGAATATTTTCTGACTTTCATAAGAACATTTTTTGTTGTTGTTCAAACTTTTATTAAGGTAGATTTATTCTGGGTAGTTTAGCTTGTACATTCACTCAAACAAACTTCCCAAAAGACAACATTAAAAATGAAAACACATATTCTTAAAACTGTTACTACATACTCAGGGCCATGTTACAATAGTCAAGCAGGTATTTGTAATATAAATGCACTGTTTGAAAAAATATGGCTGGTCTATGGAAATCTACCCCTGTAACTGGCAGGGAATCTTGTAGTAAAGCAGGCCATTTATGGGAAAAAGAAAATAGTAGCTAAAGGTGTAAGATGGCTTTCCAAGCTCTGTCAACATGGCATTCTTTGCTGGATGTTCATATCATTATCTATATAATAGAAGGGATTTAGTGACAAAGTGAAGATGAGTAATTTTGTTAAAGCCAAAGTTGTTTCAGTGTTGTCTGCTATAAGTATTTTAATAATGATATTTAATTAAAAGTGGATCAACAAGCTATATGTAACTGCAGTAATATAGAAATTCAAAGGAAAGATAATGGTAATATGATTGACAATATCATATGGGCAAAAATCAAGGCTCTCAAGACCATCTGTTTACCTAGGTAGTTAGTATCTCAGAATTGTCTCTCCTGTAGATCTACTACACTCTCCTACTTCCTTTAATGTTTATTTTCTGTGAGGAAATTGATGTTGCACCCCTAGTTTTACCTTTTTCTTACTATTCCTTATAGACTTTTGCATTTAATAGGCAGAATTGGAAAAATTCAGAAAATAAAACTTGTTAAAATTGGAGGTAGATTAATTAGTAAACATCAGAGCATTCATTCTATTTAAAGTTTATTTCCTTTTATAAAGTTCCTCCAAAGGATACTGTTACTTTCCAATCCTTCCCATGGTCTACAAGAGTATGTCAAGCCAGCCCCCATAACATTCTCTTCCCTTTGCCTGTGTTTAACCATATTGTCCTTTTTTGGTGAGGTCCATTTCCTCATAAACAATTTCCCTGATACCAATAACACATCTATTCCCACTCTGTTGCCCACAGAATCCTATATTTATCTTTCATAAATGCATCACAGTATGTAATTGTGTTTGAGATTATTTGAATAATTATTTCATTTCACTAAAATAAAAGAGCTATAATGGTAGACAATGGCACAAAGTTGTCAATACATAGTTTTGAATAATCAATATTCCATAATTGTACAATAGATTGTCCAAACCTGTATTATTTCTTCAAAGATTATGGAACTTTTCTAATGCTGACAATGGTTTATAAAAATAAAAAAGTGATTTAATTCATTATTTTGAAAAATCTATAATTTTAGCCTAATTGTTCATAGTTTCATATTGCTTTGTCCTTTTGCCTTATCTACTTGGGGTCTTGGTTCCATTAAAACTGAGAAACAATTCCAGACTTATCCAAACTCATTTTGACACCAAGAAATGAAAAAAAAAAAAAAAAAAAAGATCATGGAAGGGCTTCTTCACGTACTAAGGATGTGACCTTTGGTTATATCAAAAAGAGTTTCACTTTATCTCAAGGTCTCCAAAGCTTGACAGCAATATTCTCTACCTGTCACTTATCTTTGTCTCTTAAATAAATTAAGTATTGCTGTGACTGCTGAGAACTGTCATCTTTTCTTCTTCATAAGCATATATAAGATAAAAAATTTTTAAAAACTAGTTTTGCTTTGACCTTCCTGGAGATGACATATGCGAATAGGACCTTGTGTGGAGGGGCACAGCATTCTCTTTGCTGGTGAGTTCATAATGGAATATTAATGTCCGCTCCCTTGTCTCACGTTAAACTACATTTTACTAACTGATTTTCTTAGTTTTACTAAAGTACCCTAAAGAGACAGAAAATATATTACCACATTAAAATATTGTTTATAGGATATTTTGTTTTTTATTTAAGCGTTTATAATAAATTGTGAAGCTTTCCTTCAGCATTGAAAAAGTAGTTCTGAAAATAAAACTATTTGGGAAGAAAGTAAAATCTAAGAAAAATCTTTTTATCAGTTTTCCGCAAGTACACACACACACACAGTTAGTTGTAATATATATACAAATACTTTCATATGTATGTTTTCATCGATTTGTAATACATAACAAAACATAATTTATATATAATACATAACATATATATGTATACACTCCCCAGCAATCTAATTAATCAAATATTAATGTGTGTATGTATATTATGCAGGGACACCTACTCAACAACAGTACACAGACCAATTCCCTTTGTGAAAAATTCAGAAACATATTAAGAGTCTTTTGCACACCCAGGGAGCACAAAATTGGCTGCATCAAAGCTGGTAAAAATTTTTGTGGCACTTACTTGTCATAGTTTCTCCCCACCAGCACAGTGCAGTGCCATTAGGAGAAGACTCCCAGCTTTTAACTTCTTCCTAGGAAGGCAAAGAGAAGACTAAAACATGTATTCAATATTCATACTTTTAGGGGGGCTGAAGAACTGATTTCTGCTGTCTTGTCTGAATTGAAGTGCTAACAGGAAAGAGTGCGAGCTTGGAGGCCATGAAGAAAAAGTACAGGTTGGGGGGAGGATTAGATTATCATGCATTCACTCACAATGGTCCCTTTCCGCTTAGCACAGCAAGATGATTAGGAGAAAAAACTCCCAACTCATGGTCTCTTCTTGAAAAGGAAAAGACAGAGAATGCTTCCAAAGTTTTGGGTTTTCAGAGGGTTGTCTGAGGGACAGGTATTTGTCTCTCCAGTCTTAGTATGGTAAGGGAACATGGCATATTCTAGGTTCCTTGGGACCACTAAGAACAAAAGAGATCTGGGTAGCTAACTGCTGCAGACACAATATGACTTGGTAACCTCTTGCTCAGAGCAAATTACAAATGAGAAAATGCTTTGAATAGACATTTCTCCAAAGAAGACATACAATTGGTCAACAGGAATATGAAAAGAGCTCAATGTCTATATCCTGAATGGTATTGCCTAGGTTTTCTTCTAGGGTTTTTATGGTTTTAGGTCTAAAATTTGTCTTTAATCCATCTTGAATTAATTTTTGTATAAGGTGTAAGGAAGGGATCCAGTTTCAGCTTTCTACATATGGCTAGCCAGTTTACCCAGCACGATTTATTAGGTAGGGAATCCTTTCCCCATTTCTTGTTTTTGTCAGATTTGTCAAAGATCAGACGGTTGTAGAGGTGTGGTATTATTTCTGAGGGCTCTGTTCTGTTCCATTGGTCTATATCTCTGTTTTGATACTAGCATGAGCAAGGACTTCATGTCTAAAACACCAAAAGCAATGGCAACAAAAGCCAAAATTGACAAATAGGATCTAATTAAACCAAAGAGCTTCTGCACAGCAAAAGAAACTACCATCAGAGTGAACAGGCAACCTACAGAATGGGAGAAAATTTTTTCAATCTACTCATCTGACAAAGGACTAATATCCAGAATCTACAAAGAACTCAAACAAATTTACAAGAAAAAAACCAACAACCCCATCAAAAAGTGGGCAAAGGATATGAACAGACACTCATCAAAAGAAGACATTTATGCAGCCAACAGACACATGAAAAAATGCTCATCATCACTGGCCATCAGAGAAATGCAAATCAAAATCACAATGAGATGCCATCTCACACCAGTTAGAATGGCGATCATTAAAAACTCAGGAAACAACTGGTGCTGGAGAGGATGTAGAGAAATAGGAACACTTTTACACTGTTGGTGGGAATGTAAACTAGTTCAACCATTGTGGAAGAGAGCATGGTGATTCCTCAAAGATCTAGAACTAGAAATACCATTTGACCCAGCCATCCCATTACTGGGTATATACCCAAAGGATTATAAATCATGCTGCTATAAAGACACATGCACACGTATGTTTATTGCAGCACTATTCACAATAGCAAAGACTTGGAACCAACCCAAATGTCCATCAATGATAGACTGGATTAAGAAAATGTGGCACATATACACCATGGAATACTATGCAGCCATAAAAAAGGATGAGTTCATGTCCTTTGTAGGGACATGGATGAAGCCAGAAACCATCATTCTCAGCAAACTATCACAAGGACAAAAAACCAAACACCGCATGTTCTCACTCATAGGTGGAAATTTAACAATGAGAACACTTGGACACAGGAAGGGGAACATCACACACCGGGGCCTGTCGTGGGGTGGGGGTGGGGGGAGGGATAGCATTAGGAGATATACCTAATGTAAATGAGGAGTTAATGGGTGCAGCACACCAACATGGCACATGTATACATATGTAACAAACCTGCACGTCGTGCACATGTACCCTAGAACTTAAAGTATAGTAGTAGAAAAAAAGAAAAGAGCTCAATGTCACTAATCATGAAGGAAATGCAAATCAAAACCTGAATGACATATTGTTTCACACTGTTAAGATGGATATCATCAAAATTGCAGTGAATAACCAGTGTTGGTGAGGATGTGGAGGAAAGGGGCCCTTGTGCACTGTTGGGAGGAATGTAAAAGGCTTTCACAAAAATGGAATATATTATGGAGGTTCCACAAAGAAATTAGATACTATAAGTACCATGTGAACCAGCAATCCCACTTCTAGGTATGTATCCATAAAAATAGAACCTTGAAGAGATATTTGCACTCCCATGTTTACTGTAACATTATTCACAAAAGCCAAGTGGTGACAGCAACCTAAATGTCCATGGGCAGATGAATGGATAAAAAAATGTATGGTACATGCACATAATGAAATATTATTGGGTTTTAAATAAGAAGGAAATCCTGTCATGTACTAGAATGTGAATGGAACTTAGGGACACCATGCTAGGTGAAATAAGCCAGTTATAGAAGGATTCCACTTACATTAGGAACTATATTTGTCAAACTCGTAGATGCAGAAAGTAGAATGGTGGTGGTCGGGGCTGGGGTAGGAGAAAATAGAGTTGCTGTTCAAAAGACAGAGTTTTAGACTAGCATGAAAATGTTCTAGAGATTTTCTATACAGTATCATATATTTATAATTTGTAATCTTGGACATATATTTTACAATATTGCACTAGACACTTAAAAACTAGAGCATTGATTTTTTGTTATGTATTTTCTGTTGCAATAAAAAATGCGTTAATCTTTTCGTAAGAAAATATTAAGCCTGTGAACCATGTTTTTACCATGATGTTCTTTTACATCCAGATTTTTCAGCTAGTGAATAAAGGCCCAGGGTTTCAAATCAGCCCTAACTTTCAAACCTGTGCAGTTCTTATTATACAATGATACAAAACTACTGTGATTCCATTACATTTTTATAAATATAGTAAGCCACCAAACATGTATTTCCTTGTTTTGTCACTAGTTATGTGAACTTGAAAACATCATGCATCTGCTCTGTTCCTCAATGACCACATGTGTAAATGAAGATCATATTATTTATCTCATGAGGTTATTGTTAGTAGTAAATGAGATAGCACGTAAAGGCCATATAATGTATTCAACTATCAAGCATTGAATATGATTATAACTTTCACCTTTGTCAAATATGTGAAACCTACAAATGTTTAAAATTATTAATTTAAACTTTCACTTATACGACCCATGGAGGGAATTGAATCAAATATATGCTAATGGAAAGACTGACATATCTTTTTATTTAGGAGTTTTGAGCTGTGAAGAATTTCACACTAAGTAATGTGAAAGAAATTTCATCACTTAAAAATATAAGCTGATAGATTAGTCACCTGTTCCTAGAGGCAATACTTATATTTGCTTTCCAAGCTGTCCATTAATTGGGTTTTATCAGAACTAGTTCCTGGCATTGAGATTACCTAGATAGATAATGTAGAAGATGTTCTTAATGCATGAAATTCAAAGGACTATAAATAGAATCTGAGCAGGCACATCTCCAGACGTGCCTTGGTAAATAAATACACTGGTGGTTTATCCAGCATATTTGACAACCAGTCTAAATAATTTTTTAAACTTCCTCTTCTTTATATGAAAAAAAATTAACAATTTTGTAATAATAATAATCATTATCTCATAGATTATTTAAAAACAAAATATATTTCATTTAAAATTTACTACTTAAATTTAATAAAATATTTTATGTATGTTTTCTGATGGAAACCCTAAGAGACAGGATAAACTACCCCCCAATATTTGGTCTGAATGTCAAGACTAATGATGCCATATAAGCACCAAGATTATATGGCAAAGTTTATTAGTCACATAATTATATTTTCCTGGAAGAGTAAGGCAGGCATACCAAGCAGGTCTGAAAATGTCTTGACATAGCAGGAGAATGGCGATTGAGAAATGAAATTGCGTTAGAGTTCCCATGCATGGGTAGGGGGTTGTGTGATTTGAACTTCCAGCTGGTGCCAAGGAAGAGAGTGTTCTGACTTTCTTATAAACTTGCTCAAATGTGAGTCAGAAGGAGTGGAGAGTGGGTTGGGGTGTTAAAGCTCTCAGCAGTTAAACATCAAAAATGGAATTGGACCCTTTTTCATAATGGTCTAAAATTAGATCCTAACAATTATATTACATATTCCACTTCGCACTTGACCATCTTAAATTATATACACATATACAAACTTCATGTAGTGATACAGAATACCCAAATTGAAGCAGCCAACTTAAGCTGTATGCTATTTGTGTTCATTTTGAATCTGTTTGTATACAACAATACATAATATCGCAGATTGGAGACATGCAGAATGCTGAAATCAAGTTAGAAACACGCCACAACAACATTTTACTCTCAAAATTAACATGTATGTGTAACTGAATCTTCATGTGTCTGAGGCCAGCAAAATAATTTTGGATTATCTGAGTTAAACACCAGGTAGAATACAATATTTATTAAAGTATTTGTAATATAAATGCAATACTTTGAAGTTTAAACATGTTATCACTAAAACGCTACAGCAACCAAAACAATTTAAAACTTTGACCAACAAAATATTTATTTTAGAAGAAAAATATTTTATCACTAATGCTGTTTAGAATTGCCTACCCATGATTCTAATAAAAAGGAGATCAACCTTTAGTTTGTTTTACACTTTTCAAATTCTCTACAAACACTGCACCCTCTCATTGCCTGTACCAGGGTGAATCAGCATAATAGTCCTGGCCTTACTACTCCTATGGAGGATAAAGTTTTCATTTTCCTATGAGAAAGCATGCATCAAATGGCATTTAGAAACATCCTAAAGAGAGTAACATGTTGATTGCTTGTCTGAGAGTAAGTTCTGATGGAAGGAATGGCAAAAGGGAGGGTGGGAGGCCAGCATACATCTGTGCAGGAAAAGAGCCACTAGTGACAAAGAGGTAATTAAAAATGTGCTCTGGAACTCAAAAGACATGTTTTCTACCTTCATAATTATGCTTCAGGCTAACATGATTATGTGGGCACCATGAGGACCTGGTAACTACATCAGCGCATATTCATTCATCTCCAAATTTGTGTCTAACACAACATTGGGACTTCTAATGCTTTATCAACTAATGATTTTTTAAATTTTAATTATAACTGACTTATCTTTTTGTTACTTTCGAACACCAAACTATCTTAAAAGCATAAAATGTTTCCCTATTTATGACTGATTAAAAATACATCCCAGGGAAACTAAGAGTTTGTTTTGGTGAGATAATGCCCTTTCTACACACCTAGTCATCTACAGTGTCTACCTTATTTTCTCTCTTAAATTGACAATCTGGCTGACAGAGTCTTGCCTTCATCCTTTCACCTCAAGGATGAAACCTCCAAGTGGGAAACTTTTTACAAGGCTGCACAAACTGTCTATGTACTTCTGGCCACCAAATAAATTCGCTCAGGTTCCAGGTCAACCTTGACAGTGTGCAAACCATTATAGTAGGTGGTTTGCAGTATACAAATGTGAAGCAGAAGCAGGCTTTTTCTGCACAGGTCAAAATATAATTCTTGTTGAAAGGTGTGTTAAAGTTCATCTCAGTCTCCACAGACTTAGGTAATGTGAATTGGCATATCCTGATATATGAAGAGATGGCAAGTACCCTAAGCATGTGTATTCTTATGAACTTCAGTTTTACCTTTATGAATTTGTCCTGAGAAAAGAATGAGGGATATGTACATAAATTTAACTACAAAACTACTCATTGAAGCATGATAACTATTTCAACTGACCAACATATATGATTGGGTAATAACAGCTGACATTTTTTTTCCATGTGTCAGAAAATGCATTTCATTACTCACTCTGCAGAGGCACAGAACATGTCAGGACCTTGCCCAGGATCAAATACCTAGAAGATAGAGGGTGGGATGGTGTCCCAGCATCTGTGAACTTAGCTAGTATGTTGTTATCCCAGTTCCACAGAGAGACAGCTCTGACTCATCTTATGGTTTAGAATTCAGTATAGGAGCCACTTCCTCAGCAAGGAGGCATTTTCTAAGAGCTGTACCTAAATCTCCCTCTACCCTTCACTTCTTCATCACAGTAGACTATTTATTTCACTCATTTTATTTATCTGAGTACATTTTTTCCTAGATCAGTGTTAACAATTTTATCGAAATGTGCCAAAAAGGATCCCATCATAGTAGTGTACAATTAAATGTTTAGCAAATTTGTGGAATTGGCTAACCATCACCACAAACCAGTTTCAAAACATTTTAATCACCTCCATAAAGTACACTGAGACAATTTGCAATCAACCCTAGCTTACACTCTCGGCTCCAAAAAAATACTTTCTATATTAATAAATTTGTCTTTTCCAGACATTTAATATAAACAAAACAGAAATATTTTTGTGTGTAGTTTTTTTTATTTATGTTGTGGCACATATGGTTTTCTGTTTCTTTTTATTGTTGAATGGTATTTCATTATATGACTATAACGCATGTTATCCATTCACCATTTGATTGGCATTTGGATTGTTTTGACTTTTTAGCTGTAACAAATAATACTGTGAACACTTACACAAGTCTCTGTGTAGACATACACTTTCATTTCTCTTGTATAGATGTGTAGAAGTGATATTATTGGGTTGTATGGTTATATTATGTTGAACTTTTTAAGAAAATGCTAAGATGTTTTTCAAAGTGGTTGTACCATTTTATATTACCACCAACATCAAGGCTTTAGTTCTTCTACACTTCGCCACACTTGGTGTGGTCTTTGGATTATAACTCCTTGAGTGGGTGTGCAATGGTATCTAATCTTGATTTTAATTTTCATTTCCTTAACTAATAAATATTTCAACTTATTGCATATTTAGTCTTCCATGATAGAATATAAGTAAGTTCTTAGAGAGCAGGGACCGTAACTGTGTTTTTCTAGTAGGGTGGTAATACACTGACAGCACTAATTTTTCAGTGATAGAATACATAATAAAATACTTTGTAGGAATTAAAGTGATTCTTATGAGGAATGTTAAATTCCCTTAATATGTACAAGTTATATTCAGTGAATTAAAAGTGGATCATAAAATATGTATAGGCTGACTTATAATTCATAAAATATATATCTACATTAAAATGTTAATGATTATTTCTGGATGGTGTGCTTAGTGGCCAGTCTATCCTATATATAATTTATACAATAAAGTAAAAGGCTTAAATATTAATTTCTAACACTTGCTTAGTTCAATACCATTCTCCTCACAAAGCCATCTAGCCTGTATGTGAATGTTTATTGACAATGAGCTCATCATCTGCTGTGCTTATCCACGTGACAAATTCACTTGAATTCCTTTATGGCGTATGAACATTTGACACCCTGTAAGTTCCTCTGTTCCTTGATCAATCTTTCAATAAGACTCTGATTTTACAAATATTTTTCTCTGACTTCAGTTTCTATTTCTTCAAGTCCGTCTTTACAAGAATCTTCAGGCAAGTTTCATCTGACAACCTTCCATGTATCTATAGCACCATCTTTGTTTGCACCTCAAAATGGATCTTACATTATCAAAATGATTGTGAAATAAGAACTATTTCTGGAAATAACACTCAGTAGAACATTTTGGGCATATAAAGCAATAACTTCCATTTTGGAAATATACTATATGCAATATACTCTACTAAATATTTTAGAAATATAATGTAAAAAATTTCACAACAATCATTCACGTATGTTAGCCTTCATTTTGCAAATAAAAACACTGATGAACAGGAAAGCAACTGAACTGTGTGAGTTTTTATAGGTAGTAAAAGCATTTGAATCTTTAGTCAATAGTGTCTTATTACAGAGCTCTTGTTCTTCTTTGCTGGATACAGGGCTTACATTCTGCTCTTCTAAACCATTATGGTTTCCAGATGCAGATTCTATGGCCTTTTTATGGAATGTGATATTTTCCTAGATGACCAGAATCCCATTTCTAACCCTATTTCAAAAAATGTCAAAGATAAAACATGTTACTCACAAATCTCAGAGCAAGTTGGATATGGGCAGAACTCTAACAAACTTGACCCTTTCTGAAACTGTGATGAATGCTGGAATGCTTAAGAGAACTGGGTCCCACAGAAGTTAATTATGGAAAATTATTGTTGTTAGACTAAAGTTGGATTAATTTTCTCCTACTCCAAGGTATATTAACCAGTCTGAAAGATAATCTGTTCATAGGCTCAAACTCTACTAGGAACAGGCCCAGAGCCACTCTGTAGCCTTCATACCATGAGACACCTGGGCCGTGCTTTTCCCACCTGGAGATATCATGGCCTTCTTCCCAAGGAAGGTTATATGTCTTTATTCCTGGGTCCAGGCAACCAGAGATAACTTGAAAATACCAAGTATAAGTCCCTTATTCTTATTGTACCAGGGCCTGCTCACATATCTGAGGGCAGTGGGACACCACAAGACAGGGAATCCTTTAAGGCCCTCCACACTGAGGGATCAGTCAAACAAGGTTGTCTTTTTCATATGCTTTCTTGGTTTCCAGCTACATTCTGACTTCTAGGCCTTCATTATGTTGATCATATACACAATGGAAGGCATGCATGAAGCAGGCAAACCTCCAAGTGACCAATCTCTCAGAAATCCTCAAAGACTCTTTGAAAGAGGCAAAAAATAATTGAGAGTTATTTTTCTTTCAAAGGGGCTCAAGATAACCTCAAATCTATGAGTAAAGCACTCGTGGACATAGATGACATTGTCCAGTGCTTTCACTCCTCCTATCAGGAACTGTTTCTCAAAACTCTTTGTTAGAACTGGTACTAAAGTGTAAGATTAAGGAATTCTATGGATTTTCACATGAATATCTAGTTTCACCTGGGTATTAGCTATTCAAAGTAGACAACTCTTCATTCAATGACACATCTGACATTTCCAGGGAACCTGCTTTAATTCTGAGCTCTGAAGAAATACTTAGATCACATATTCTCAGAAACAATTGCCTTGCTCAACTGTAAGTATGTGTAGGCCAGTAATTTCATGTTTTTACTTGATATGAACACCTATAGGGAAGCCAAGTCCTCCGAGCTTTTTCCAGGAAAATGCTCGGACCAGAATAAACCTTCTAATCAGTGGTGGAAGCCTCAGGCTGGGCTAAAATCAGATCTCTACATAGGCTTAATTTTCCCACTTAGGAGAGACTTTCAAATTGGCAATGGTGGGCATCTCGTCTGCTGCTTGCTTGGTTCTTGGGCTTCTCTCCATTTCTCTACAACTTTCACTTCTAGGCTTTAGCATTATTCATTCACTACTATTAAATTTCCTAAGCATGTATTATCTGAAGAGAGATAAAATATATTTTATTCATCATTTCTCATCCCTGGGAATGCCATTTGGACAAAAGGAATTGCCATCTCTCCTTTCTTCTGTGAAGATTATTAGCAGAGGCTATCCCCATTTGTCCCTATACACTGGCCCAGTACTTCCAGCAAGAGGGTCAGTCTGTGCACATAGCTCAACTCTATTCTAAAGACAGAGCCCTACCTCTCCTCCAGAGGCATCACTGCTCATTCTCTCTCCTAGAACTGCTGCCTTTTACCCGTCCCTTCCCTCCGCTTTGTCCACTCGTCTTCTTTCTCCTCTGATCATTTATTATCTCAGTGGTTTCTACTATCCTTGCTTCTCATTTAAAGAGTGATTCTCAGGTTTTTATTCGTAAACATATTTCTTGTAAAATTCTTGTTCCTTATTAAATTATGAACTCTTCTCTAATAATTTCTTTATGCATCTAGTGTCCCTGGAGTACTGTAATGAGAGTAGAGACCAGTATCTCAAACCAGACATAGAGAACAAATGAGGAAAAGAACATATTTAATCCTGTTAATACCTAAAAGCAATTCTTAGGTTAAATTTCAGAAAGTACATTCTTAGCTTCTAATGTGATGACTGCAAAAGTTGGTGAGCTATATATATGTATTTGTGTGTGTGTGTGTGTGTGTCATACATACAGAATACCGTCATGCACTGCATAATAACATTTCAATCAACTATGTACCACATATACTATAATGATCTCATAAGATTATAATGGAGCTAAAAACTTTCTATCACCTTGTGACAAAATCATTGCCATCTTAACATAATAGCCCAATTCATTAATCCTGTGTTCGTGGTGATGCTGATGCAAACAAACCTAATGTGCTGCAAGTCACTTAAAAAGTAAATATAAATTAAAAAATAGAAAAATATCTTAGAAAAAATATTTACAAATACTTAGATATACTTAGAAAATATTTTATACAGTTGTACAATGTATATACATAATTTATTATATGTTAAATATGTAAACCAGTAAATGCGTTCTAAGCTAAGTGTTATAACTAGAGTCAAAGTGTTTTTTAATCAAAAATTTATAAATAGTTATAGTAAGTTAAGTTTATCACTGAGGAAAGAAAAATATTTTAAAAACATATAGTGTAGCCTATGTTTGCAGTGTTTATAAAGTCTACAGCAGTGTAATGTCCTGGTTCCACACATTCATTCACCACTCACTCACTCAATCACCCAGAGCAAATTCCAGTCCTCTAAGCTCCATTCATGTTAACTGCTGATATGGTTTGGCTTTGTCCCCACCCAAATATCACCTTGAATTGTAATAATCCCTAAATTCAAGGGTGGGGCCAGGTGGAGATAATTGAATCATTGGGGCAGTTTCCCCCACACTGTTCTCCTGGTAATGAATAAGTCTCATGAAATCTGATGATTTTATAAATGAGAGTTCCCCTACACAAGCTCTCTTGCCTGTCACCATTAAGATGTGACTTTGCTTCTCTTTCATCTTCCACCATGATTGTGCAGCCTCCCCAGCCATGTAGAACTGTAAGTTAAACATCTTATTCTTTACAAATTACCCAGTCTCGGGCTTGTCTTTATTAGCAGCATGAGAACAGACTAATACAAGTCCTCTATACAAGTATACCTTTTTAATCTTTTATACCATATTTTTCCTGTATCTTTTCTAAGTTAGATATGTTTAGACACGCAAATATTTACCACTGTGCCTACAGTATTCAGTACAGTAGCATGCTATACAGGTTTGTAGCCTAGGAGCAGTAGGCTCTCTCATAGAGCCTAGGTGTAGAGTAGGTTATACCATCTAGGTCTGTGTGAGTATACTCTGTGAGTTTGCACAACAACAAAATTGACTACACATTTCTCAGGACATATCCTTAGACTATATATCACACAGTCTATGTAGCAAGTTTTTATATTTGATTTATTTTACCCTTTACATGTGACTTTCATGTTACCTTCATTTTTGGTGGACAATTATTTATTATTTCACCTACCCACAGAGCAACTGGAATGACTTGTCCCAAATCCCATAGCTGTGATTATGTTTTAGATGGCCCTGCTAAAAAGACTGTTTAGGGAACAAGGTGACTCCACAATTAATTCCCGAATGACATTTCTACACTATGTTGACCTCAAAATGCTTTACGACATCCAGATTTATTTGAATGACTTAACTATCCAGAGTCCCAATTATAAATCATAGCCATGTTTTCCATATTCCCTGGCCGCCATATAACCCATGGGTCTTCTGATTCCTTCTGTCAAGCATTCTAGAATTATTCTCTTTGTAGCCTGTTTTTATAAATTGTGTTGATTGGCATGCCCCTTTTGTACTCAAGGTAGTTATGCAAAATAGATTGCAATAAGGTTTAGTGTCAAGATGATCTTGATCCATTTTTGAAATGGTTCCTCCTTGGGTAAAACTATATTATCCCTAGTAGTTCACATGAAAACTTCAGTATAATAAGAAACTAGAGGAAAAAAAGAGCTGAAGTTTTCTTTACTTGATGACCCAAGATATAGAATCATCTATAATTAACTCATCAAGTTTGCTTAGTCCAGATTAAGAATGTCCTGCTAATCCTCAAGTGTTTACCTTTTCTCAAAATGAAAGCCACCTTCTTTCCTCCTCCCTGTACATCCCTTTATGAAACTGAGATAGAGATGGTAACAGTGATGTCATTCACCTGAGGCAATTCTTCTCACTGTCTTTCCACCTTTGAGTTTAGAGAAGCTGATGATATGTTGTCAAGAGAGGCAGTTGCCATTTATGCTCTTTGCTCCATGTTGTTCTTTTACATTTGCATTTAGGAGGTGGAAGACATGTAGCCCACTTATGGGTGGGGGGTGGGTATGAGAATGACCCTCAGAGCACCAAAAACTTCTTATGTATTACATACTCCCTCTAAATTGTCTGTCTACACATTACCATTTGGGCCTGCATACAATACATTTGTATGCACCTGCTCCCATTAGGGTGAGATCAAGGAAAAGTGCAGGTATTATGGGAATTAAAAGGAATAAGAATCTTCACATTTTTTTGTTTCTGATCAGGATACCCCCAGAAGATACAGCATGGGGGTCAAATTGTTGTCAAGTTAACTGAGAAGAAATAAATGGAAAACACATTTTGTATACATACACACACACACGCGCGGATATTAAATATTTGCAAATTATTAGGCACCATGCTACAGACTTCCTAAGTAGATCTCAGCTTTGTGAAAGTTGGGTATTGGCAGGGAAAAGAGAAGTTTCTTCTGTTCTAAGCTTCTTTATTTTCTAGCCACCATGGCTAGAAAACTTGTCAGAGGTGTTGAGCCCTGTTGGCCAGATCACGGCTCTAGACTGGGTTGGAAATGTTAGGGCTTCTTCCTGAGCGTACACAGCACATAGAACCCTTAGGTGTGCTCCACTCTATCTTCCTTCACCACTGGTGACTCCCAGGTTGACAGTAATTTTTTCCTCTGACAGTTAATTACTATCAGCCTTTTCTGCTTCCAGCAAGTCCAACGGTTTCCTTAGCTTCACGTACTCCCCAAATCAACAATCAGTGTGTCTTTTGCCATTCCCCTTATTCTACCACATTCTCTTTCTAATAGAGTGACTCTTTAGTTAAGGCATTTTTATTTTTCCTGAGAAAGTAAAATAAATAGCCTAATAGACATGATATGATTCAAAATCAGAATAAAATGAATCAATCTCTCTCTTGTTTCTCTTTCTGTCTCATTTATCCCCCATGATATACAGTTTTTAGTTTTATTATACTGGCTCTCACTGAAGAAAATTTATGTTGATGTCCCATGTTTGATCCTTTAATAGCCCTTTAATAGTTAAAGAGAAATTGTAGTCTCACTTTGGGCAAAAATTTTCTCGGTTGCATCTGCCTTTCCTTTGTGGTTTTCTCATTCTACCCTTCACTTTCCAGATTAGCACAGAAAGGAGAGGTGCAGAAGAAAATAAACTAACATAAAAGGTGGCAGCGTTCACTCAGAGAGCAAATGGATGGTACTGTAGAAACTGTGCCCCAAAGAGTTAAATAAACTAACAGAAATTCTGGAGCTTACAGGATGGCAGATAAAAAAGAAACTGTGCAGAATGTGTAGAATGAGCTTGCTGACCTGACAGCCCATATTTCCACTGCAAGTTTCATACTAACTTACCCTGAATTTTCACATGTGAGCCATGAGCAAGCATGAAAAGATAACTGAATGCCTGAGGCCTTTCTAGATCTCCCCTTTCCTTCCACCAGTCACCTAAGCCTAGAATCCACCCGCTAAAACTTTTCTAATAAAAATACTGCCTGCAATCCAGCACAAGGAGATGAATTTGAGCCAGAGTGTTAGTCAAGCTACAATAAAAAAGCTTTTATTTTCCAAAAAAAAAAAAAAAAAAAAACAGTGTCACAACATTGGCTTCTAGCAGATCGGGCAGAAAGCCCTTTTGCTCAGAAACTCTGTTGTTACCTTAAGAAGACTGTGGCGGACTTGAGACTTCTTCAGAGCAGTCATTTGGTTATTTGTACGTTCTGTTTCTTCAAGTATACATAATGTCCTGTGGAAGGAAAATGGTAACCTCAGCCTTTCTCCACTGAGTGGTGTGAGTTTTCTACACTCCCTTTCTCTTTATGGAAATCCTACCTCAATCCGCCCTCATTTCTGTCCAATAGTGCAGTTTGCCCTTGTATTAGTCTGTTCTCATGCTGCTATGAAGAAATAGCTGAGACTGGGTAATTTATAAAGACAAGAGATTTAATTGACTCAGTTCCACATTGCTGGGGAGGCCTCATGAAACTTACAATCATGGTGGAAGACAAAAGAGAAGCAGTCACCTTCTTCACAGCGTGGCAGGTTGGAGCGAGTACAAACAGGGGAGATGCCAGATGCTTATAAAACCATCACCAGATCTTGTGAGAACTCACTTATGATCACGAGAACAGCATGGGGAAAACCACACCCATGATCCAATTACTTCCACCTTGTCCCACCCTTGACACTTTGACACGTGATGATAATGGGGGATTATATTCAAGGTGAGGTTGGGTGGGGATACAGTGCCAAACAATATCAGTCCTCAAACTCACTTCTAACTCAAGAGGCAGCTTCTCTGATGTCTTCAAATGCCAGATGCTTCTCCATTCAAAAATAGTTTATTGCAGCTAGCTTTTTATGGCAGAGTGAACTGACCCTGTAGCAGGTCTATTAGTGGTGCTAAGATATTTAGCTGACAGTTTCCTCTTGTAATCCTACAGGCTTGATAGGCATCCAACCTCCAATCATCTTTTACTGTAGGTGGCTGTTGGGACTAGAATATTGCCCAGGATTCTAGAGCTTAATTTATCTTCTCAGTTACTCCCAAGGATTCGGAAGCCCCAGATTAAGTTTATATAAGCCAACTGCATTCGTGGTTAATTTCTTTTTCTCAATGGAAATACTCTCACTCACCAGCCAACTGCATTCATGGTTAATTCCTTTTTCTCAATGGAAATACTCTCACTCACCCACTTTTAGTCACATGTGTAACTACACCTGCATTTTGACATAAATGTATGGTTGGCTTAGGTCCTCATGATAAGAAATACCCTAAAACTTTTTGTCCTCTTGCATATCACTTCAGGGAACAACTCCTCAAGTAAGAAGACAGCCTCCTTAGTGCCAAATTGAAATGAATGAAATCATTTTTTCTCATACAGTTATAGCAATACAATTTATTTTACATTCAACACACTCTACTATATATACAAAACTAAAAGATTTTGTTATTAAAATCCTATTACCTTCACAATGTATTCTATAATTTTATCTATTTCTATCTTTACCCTGAAAAGAGATATTTAAGCCATATGTGTACAATTTTAGAGCCTTCATTCCTCCATTATATCACATGTCATGATGATATTCCAAATTTCTATTTCAATCAAATCATTTTTTAACATGAAAAACATTATGATGTACATGTTACATGTTAGTTGTTTTTTTTCTTCTCACCTTATTTTTTGACTCAGTCCTTAGAGGTAAGATCATGCAATGAATGTTTGAGAACTTTCATAGCTCCTAAAACATCTTCCCAACCTCAACTCCTGGCAAAGATGTACTGGTATTTTTTTTCCCCACAACCAACTAGGTATAAGTATGACAATTCCGTTTATGGAGTGCTATGAGGAGTAAAATGTATAAGGGATTCCAAAGTAAAATTGATTAAAAAATCATTTATTTCTCAAATTCTCAGTCTAAATTTCAAATTTTCTACAAAGCAAAACAAGTGGCTATTTAACCACTCATATTCTTGAACTTTTAAAATATCAATTATCTTTATTTTACAAATTTCACAATTCTTAGACTAATATCTAAGTTAAAGTTTGAAAATATCACCCTCTTTTCTCTCCATGTCCTACCTTTGATCTAAAGTAGAAAGCAACAACTTGAAAAACAATTGTTCAAATCTAAAAATTATCTTCTTATATGAAATCCATTCAATAATTTTTTTCATAAATATCTGAACATCATTGAGCACTTTTCTAAAAGTCAATGTGTAAAATTTTACATATATATACATACACACATGCATACACACATCATATATATATATATATATATATATACACACACATCCCATATTTACAGTAAGCAAAAATTCAAACAAACGTCGACAACATCTGACATAATGTTACAGCTAGCCAAGTTTGTTGACATCTTACAATGTGGAACTAACTGATCCTGAGAATAGGTGAAATCAGTCAAATCAAGATTGGCTCAATAGCAAAGCCACTATGTGACAAGAAAAGGTTTATTTTAATATAGCCAGTGGTTTCTCACATTTATATTTTGCCCTGACCTCCCCTTAACTTCTTTGACTTTCAATACTATCAGGGAATCTTGTTGAGATTTTAGGAACTACAGTCTCTTTATTTAAGAAAACACAAAGGAAAACTTTTAAACATATTATTTCATTTAAACTTTATAAGTTGAATGAATATTAGCAGCAATTCTTTTTTTTTCTTAGCAACAGAAGGAGAAGTTGTAGAAAATGAAATAGAAAAGGAGAAGAAGTAAAAGAAAGAGATTTTGTCCTTTTCTATTTCAAAGTTTACTGATGTGAGTTAGAACCAGGAAAGTAGGGGAGTAAAGTTATGGTCTTCTTTATTCACATAATCACTGTTAACATATTTATATATTTGTATATCAGATGTTTCCAAGAGATATCATTCGTTTAGACAAGGCAATATAAAGTGCTGGGCATACCTGGCTAGACAGACACATTAGTGTTGATGTTGAATGGAGGAGGAAGACTAGAAAACACGGGAGTAAGAACCCTTGAACTAATCTTTAAAGTTTGAATTAAATGAGGGATTTGTTTGGAATCTTATTAGATTGCATTCACATGTCTGCTTTAAAATATTGGTCTTATGATCTGAACTTTGCTTACTCATATGTATTTATCGGTGATATATTAAACAACAAAATGCTGCTTTAAAATTTACTGTTTATTTGTAAAATCTCTTAAAACTTAATATGAGAATGGTTTTGAGGAAAACTGCAACAGGTCAAAGACTACAAATCTTATTCTTTTATTGCATTGTCCAGTAAGTGGGTACAGGTCACTCATGGAATAAGATTCATACATGTAAAAATGAAGAAGGAAGAAAATAGAGGGGAAAAGAAGAAATTTTTTTTTAATTTATTTTCAACATAGCTTAAAGTAATGTATCCAGGCTTTATAATGTCATAGACCTATAACTTTTTTTGTTCTTATGTTTCATCACTGGTTTCTTTGGAGAAAGTCTTTGTAAACTACATATTTATTGTCAGACAAAAGCATTTCCTTTCTTATTTTAAACTAGCAATAATTATTTGTACTTACCTATGTTCATCTTATATACTGATTTTACTAGACATACGTGAGTATATATACAGGCTGTATAATGCCTCATTTTCTTAATTCATTCATATTCATTTTTTATTCTTTCAGTTATTACTACTCTCCTCCTGGTGCAAAAGAAAAGCATGATTAAATTAATTTTCAGATGTTTTTATTTTTTTCAGAATAGAAGGACTTAACTTACTATTTGGAGGAAATTTAATGACATCAATTTTCTCATAAATTGAAGTTTACATTTAAATTTACAAAAGAGGGAATATAGCCTAACTCCTGGGAAACAAATGATGATTTGGATTGCATTTACTAGCCAACAATACAAATTCATTAGTCGAATTGTACCTATGTTATTACTACAGAAATCAAATTGAGTGGGTTGTCATCATCCCACAGAGGTAGGATGGATCCTAAAATTGGTTTTGACGTTGAGAAAAATGATGCCACACATGCATCAGGAGAATAAAATAATATTTTCTGGCAAGCAGGTCCAAAAATGTCTTGATAAATTAGGGAGGGGCTACTGGCTTAGGGTATGATGGTGACTGAGCATGTGGCTGGGGTGCAGCTTCTGAACTGGAGCTTGGGTTGTTTAAATATCCACTGGTGTCAAAGGAGGAAATAATCAGTCTTTCTTATCAAATTGCCCAGATATAGTGTAGAAGAGGAAGGTTAAGTGGTGGGACTTGAAAGCTGTCAGTAGTTGAAAGTCAAAAATAGAATCAGAATCTTCTTTACAAGTGATAGAAAAGATATCAACAAGACTGTGGAATGGAAGAAGCTATAGATTCAGATCTATGAACAAATAAAATAAATGACTTTTCAGTTTAATGTTTGCATATTATTGATTACATCTTGCATTTTAAACATTTTATAATTGTGTTTTTTCATATATTTAAGGTGTGGACATGAAGGTGATTGATGTCCAGACTAATTCTTCTGATCTGGCTGGTTAACTGGGAATCTATTTACTCACTTATCACTTTGTGTCTAAGATGAAAATAAAATAGAACAACAGTTTTCACTTTAGAGTACATGTAGTGCTAACATCTGAATTATGTCTGACTTAAAAAGGCTCTCTTTATACTAGATAATAATTTTATAATGAAAAGGGTCATATTAATGCATGAACAAAAATGACTGAAATACAAAGTGCTCGCAGAAGTAGTTAGAATATAAAAGGGAAAACAACGTCTTAGATTTGTTAGCCTCCATAATCATTTGCCTTATGAGACAAAAGCAATTTGCTTTTATGTGTGCTCATTATGCTCACCTTAGTCATTAGCTTCATCACAAAATATTTAGTGAATATATGGTACTATGCTTGCAAATACTGTAAATATTTCCTTGCTGTCAAACCAACTTTAACAATATCACTGAAATATAAAGTTGAAGAATTGTAAGTAATCATTCATTATTATTAATGGCATACATTTAACATCAGTAAGTGGCCTAAACATTTCATAAATCAGATGTATGTAGCTTACGTTTCCCATAGTTTTTAGCGTTGGTTTGGGAGTCTGGCCACTTATGGTTTTAGCTCTGCCTCTGCAATTTAAGTAGTGTGGGCTATGGCAATAAATTCTCCCTGACTGTACAGCATAGGATTGCCTACCTCTAAAAGTCTGCTTTTGTTGTTTTCATCAACTTTCGCTCACTTTCTTTGAACGTGTTTATGACATTTACAACAACTCAGGGACAACTAAGGGATGAGTTCTTATTCCAAATATTCTAGTTAAGTTTTTGAATATACAGCTTGAACTGTATTTTTAAGGGCACAAAGAGGGAAAAGGACTACTATTTACTGTCTTTAGTGTGACAGGCATTGTTTTAGGTATTTTGCAAAGGTATGTGAATGTCATTTATATTTCTGATATCTGTACAAACAAGGAAATTGAGATTCAAGAATATTATCTAGCTTCTTTTAAGCCACCCAGATAATCTATGAAGGAATTAGGAATAAAATGTATGTCTTTCTTATTCCAAAGCTCTTGACCTTTCAATTCTATTACATTATATAATGGTATCTGCCTTTTAATGGTCCTAATTTGGATGGAAAGTGTGCAAGAGGTGTGTATATTTACATGTGTGAGTGTGTGTGATTAGGCATATGAGTGTGAATATCAATGTATTGGTGATCCAAACATAACATATTTATGGATCACTTGGGCTTTTTACATTGCTGCTTTTCTTGTTATTGCCTTTGATTTTTACATGCCATTGGTAACATAGCTAAAATATGTACGTTCCTCATTTACTGGCTGGTGTTAAATGAATGCTATTAAATTAGTTCAGCTTACTATAAATGGCAGCAAACAAAGCTTGTGTATACCAAACGTTCTCAAGTGTGGGACATAGACCTACTGGATCAACAGTGGAAGAAAGAATATGTCAATGACAACTAATTATAAATTGTTTTACTGTGAAATTAGATACAGAATTTTTTCAAAAAAAAATCTGAAAACTGTAAGATATAATTGCCACAAGCACTATGTAAATGCATTTAGCAGTTACATATTTCTGTCAGTCACATTCTTTCTCCTATTCTTCTCATTAAGTACAGGTTGTCTTTCTTCATTTGAAAATCTGAAATCTGAAATGCTCCAAAATCTGAAACTTCTTGAGCAATGGTATGACATTCAAGGAAAATGCTCATTGGAAAATGTCAGATTTTGGATTTTCAGATTAGGAATGGTGAACATGTAAGTGTGATGCAAGTACTACAAAATTCAAAGAAAATCCAAAATCTGAAACACTTCTGGTCCCAAACATTTCAGATAAGAGATACTCAACCTGTACAAACAAAAACCCTGAGCATTCGCTATAAACCAACAAACAAAATAAGCCTCTGAAAGGTGGAGAGAAGTCACACAGGCCAGGGAATTCAATGCTATGAATTTCTTGGCTTTCTATTTTCTCACATATTTAGGAATTGGGGTTGAAAAAAAAACTGGCTACCTCAAACATGGCAACAACCATAGCCAATATTAAAAAGTAATAAGAAAATGTAAGACCTGAACAAAATTTTGTACTTTGAAGCCAAAAGACCATTAATGAAAAAGCCTAGAAAGGCAGGGTTTTTTTTATATTAACCATTTTACACCAGACAAACACCATAGGAGAAAAAAGAAATGACTGTAGCCTCATTCCATACACACCAGCAAAGGCCAAGCAGGTAGCCTAGACAACCACACTCATGAATCTGTAACAAGGCAACCCAACACCCCCATTGGTGTGCCATCAGAGAAAGCCAACTAGAATATCAGGGTTTAAATGCCAGCTAACCAACAATGAGGTCCCTTCTGGCATCAGTGAACCCCACATGATGAGCCAAAATTCCTACCCCCCCAAAACAAAAGTAAGGAAGAACATCCCCTTCTCTTGGGGTATCAACAGAGGCTGAGGGGGAACTAAGAATCTCTCTCTCCACCTGGAAATAACAAACCGGAAATAACAAACAGAGAAAAGCTAACACTTCTATAGCATTGGTAGAAATATAAATTAGTGCAGTCATTATGGAAAACTTTATGGAGATTCCTCAAAAACTAAAAATGTAATTACCTTATGATCTAGCAATCTCGCTTCTGGGCATATCTTTATGATTTGCAATCACTAAGTCAAAGAGATAGCTGCATTTCCGTGTTCATTGCAGCATTTTTCACAATAGCCAAGTTATGGAATCAACCTAAATGCCCATCAACAAATGAAGAGGTAAAAAAAAATGTGGCATAAATACACAACATTATACTAATGTTATACTTAAAAATTTAAAAAAAGAATTCCTGTCATTTGTAACAACATGGGTACACCTGGAAGACACTAGGCTAAGTAAAGTAAGCCAGGCACAGACACAAATACCACAGCATCTCACTTATATGTGGAACAGTCAAACTCCCAGAAGCAGAGTAGAACGTTAGTTGCCACAGCCTGGAGAGTTGGAAAACTAGTTCAATATTTGAAAAATGACCAATGTAATCCATTATTTGACTAAAATAAAAAGGAAAAGTCACATGATCATATAAACTGATGCAGAAAAAAAGTGATAAGATTTAATCTCATTTCATGATTTTTTGATATGTCAGAAAAATAGGAATAAAGGAGAATGTTCTGAACTTGATAAAGAACATCTACAAACAGCAACAATAAAAACAACTAGCATTAATCTTACACTTAATCTTATACTGAATGGTGAAAGACAAGATGATCTCCCCTAATATCAGGGACAAGGCGAGGATGTCCATTCTTATCTCTTTTAATAAAAATAATGATAGAAGTTTCAGACAGTGCAATAAGCAAAAAAAAAAAATATATATATATATAGATTAGGAAGGGGGAAATAAACACTGTCTCTATATGCAAATGCCATAATTGTTTATGTAGAAAATCCAGAGAAATCAACAATAAAAACAAATTTCTAAAACGGATAAATGAGTTTAGCTAGCCAAAAGAATACACGATAACTATATGAAAATCAATTGTATCTCAATATCCTAGCAATAAACACTTGGACACTTAAATAAAAAATACATTATCTTTTCAGTTACTGAAAATATACTTAGGTATAAATCTACAAAACATGTATAATACCTTTCATATGTTTAAAACTACAAAACATTGATTAAAGGAATCCAAGAGGAGCTATATAAATGAAGAAGTATATTATGACTAGGAAATCATCCTTCCTTTCCACAAAACCTTTTCCTCTGTCAGTCTGTGGGATCTTCCTCTGCCTCTCTCTTATAAGAACATTAGGAATGGCCTTTAATGCCCACATAGATAATCTAGAATGATCCCATCATCTCAAGATCTTAATCATATCTGCAACAAGCCTTTATTCCAAATAAGGCAAGATTTACACATTCCAGGGATTAGGGCATGGACATATATTTGGGGCAAAATACAAAGATATACAAATGGCAAATAAACGTTAAAAAATCTTCAGAATCATTAACATTAGATAAATGCAAATTATAATCACAATATCATACTACTGTGTATTAGTACTTATCAGAATAGCTAAAATAAAACATAGTGACAACACCAAATGTTGGCAAGGATGTAGAGAAACTGCATGTCATAAATTGTTGATGGGGTTGTAAATGATGCATACACCTTGAAAAACAATTCGACAGTTTTTAAAAATAAATACAGATAATTAACATGCAACTACCATAACCTCAATTATACTCTTAGTCATTTGTCTCAGAAAAATAAAGTCATATGTTCATGCAAAAATCTTTTCAAGAATACTTATAGGAGTTTTATTCACAATTGCCCCAAACTAAAAATAACCCAGATGTCCTTTTCTTAGTAAATGGTTAAACTAAATATGTACATTCATATCATAAAATAGTATTCAACCATAAAAAATAAACTATTAATACATGCAATGTCTGGATGAATTATCTGGATGAATTTCCAGAAATATACTGAGTGAAAAAAGTCAATCCAAAGGGATTACCTTATTATTTCATTTATATAAAATTATTGAAATGATACAATTATAGAAATGTAGAATAGACTAGTAGTTGTCAGGAGTTAAAAAGTGGGCTGAGGTGGAAAGGAAGGAGTTGTATCTACACAACTATCTGTAGAAGGGCAATATTAGGAATCCTTGTGGTAATGAAAATGTTCTGGATCTTGACTGTCAATGTCAATATCCTGGTTCTGATATTTTGCTGTAATTTTGCAGCATGTTACAATTGGGGGAAACCAGATAAAATAAAACATATAGGGATCTCTCTGTATTATTTTTTACAAATACAAGTGAATCTACAATTGTTTCAAAACTTTGAAAAAAATTAACAAAATTTATTTAAAATAGTACTCCAAAACATCTGATACAATCATCCGTAAATACGTAGAAACATACCGTTTGTTCTATCTCCTAAACACATTTATTCAGATGTCACCAGCCATTGAAAATTACTCTAGTCATTTGACAAAATTATACCTTTATAACACAGATCACAAAATAATTACTGACTTCCTTTCTTGTCTATTGTTTCCTACAAAACTCTATAACATAAAGAGTTGTGTCACTTTTTGTCATTGCTTTCCAAAACACATAGTCAATTACTACTAAGATTTCCAATTTTTTTATAGTGTACCACTGAAAATAATTGTAAAATATCAGTTCAGCACTGTTTTGATTTATAGAAGTAACATAATTCTTACATTTTTCAGAAAAATAGTTTTGATATTTCATTAATTCAGTAGCAAAAAGTATTATTTTTCTATCCATAATTATCTATAAAGACTGTCAAAAGCAGGATGATCTAAAAATTTATCAAATAATGTACCTACAAAGTCAATACGTTACTCTAAGACCTGAAAAATAATCTCAGAAAAAAAAATCTTTATTCTATGTATCCTAACTATCCTTTGCAAGATTGGAATATGGTTATTGACTAAACTAGAATAAACCAATAAACCAAAAGAGTTCTAGATTAGGGTTCTGACACTGGTGTATTGCTCACTATGAATTTAGATGCTAAATATGTTATTTAACCTCTGTTTGATTCAATTCTCTTATATGTGAAATGATTATAACAAGAGCCACTTCACATGAGGTTGTTAGGATGATGAAATAATATGACGTATCGAGAGCATTTCCCATACAGAATAGTACCAGATAAGCATGTATGTATACTAGTGTTACCACTATCACTTAGTATTGGATATTGAATGATAAATAAATATAATCATTAACCATTGTTAAAGATATCTCCTGTATTTGTTTTCACAATACTCATGAAACTTTTATGTTTTCTTTCAAAAATTCTATCTGGTATCAATTTGATTACCGGCTCCCAATCCTGCTTTACTCAAGGCCCTTCAAAGTTTCTCATTGCTCTCAGGGTAACGACAATACTCTCCACCAAGGCCTTTAACATTTGGCATGATCCGCCTGCTGCCTGCCTATCCACTTCCACTTCATACCATGTTTTCCCTCTGTCTACTCACTCCTCTCAGCCACAATCTCCCTCCTGCCCAGTACTCTTGCACATGCTGCTCTATGTAAGTCATACTTCCCTTCCATGTTCACCCACTAAGCATGTTGTTTTTAGATGTATGATCAATAATCATTCTTAGGAAAGCATGCCTTAATTTACTTGATTACATCAAACATCCCACTCTTAGGCACTCATAAAGCCAAATATTACTCCTACATACATAACTTTTGGTGCAATTGCACTTTTACATGAACTTACATGATTTAATGGCTGGGCTTCTGTCTGTATTTTCCTCTAGACTTTCTCATAGCTGTTTTTACCTGCCACTGTACCATCCATTCATAGCACAGTGTGTGGAAGAAGTAAATCTTTCTATAAATGTTTATTCGTTAAATAAATAAATGTGTAGTGAATCAACAGGTTTTTATAAATGCCTAGAAATGGAAAAATCAAAGGTAAATTATATTATAACCTTAAATGTATATGTTAAGGGTAGTGTCAGTGTAACTTTGTTCTTCAATGACTCTGTTTCTAATTTATCCTGGTGATATTGGAGCCTCATTTTAAACAACACACTATAAGAGGCATGAAAACAATGGTGCCATTGTGCCTTAACACTATATCACATAAGGAGTGGTTAAAGGATGTTTACTTTGGAGGTAATTTATGACACATATTCCACAATATGAATTGGAAGAGGGAATAGCCTGATTCAAACTGATGCTTCGTGGAAGCACTTTTGGTGTATCATTTGAAGATGTTTCTCATACAACTGCCTATTGGATATAGAATGAGTAGATAAAACATCGCCATTATTAGGCACCTTTGAGATAAAAAAATCTGGGTCACAATACATGTTGTTCAGAGTTACAGTGAGGATTTCCATTAATAATTTTTATGCTTGATTAGGGTCAATGAAAAAGTGTCAAATTAGGGTAAGGGTGAAAATATTTGAAAAATATTAACTCAAAATACTTTAATTCATTTCTTAAATACAGTCACTGCAGGTTTGTAGCTATGGCATGTGTCATATCACCCTATAGAAGATGAGAATAGTTTATTTTGGAGACAAAGTAGTCAAAAACTAGATTTCATCTCAAAATTGGCTTTTCTGACCATGTTAGTTAGATAAGGTCTTAAAAGGCTGGGCTTCATAAATACTAACATTATTTCTAAATTGCATACCTTCATCTTTAACAAACTTAGAGTCACGGTTCATGGTCAGATTACAGAGTTTTAATATATTTCAGAGAATCCTACATAACAAGTGATACACAATTTCTGAGCAAGTGAATTGTGGGGTGAAAAAGAACGTCTGGGTCTGAAAAGTAAGTTGTTGGATTCATGTATCTTTACTTTTCCTCTCTGAGCCAAAATTTTGACAATTTGGATGGGTTGAGGGGAGAGCCAAACACACAAGGATAATTTATCTGGTTTGGCATAGAGCAAATAGAACATGCATTACACTAGCCATGATCTTTGTTATTAGACCAAAGGAAATTCCAGGAACATGACCATAATAGTCCCACCTGAATAGACACCAGCCAATGCAGATCTAAATACCAATGCCAGGAAAAAGCAAGGGATTTCTTTAATCCCCATTAATGTAAGTCTTTAGGCAACTTCCATTTAGAATTGGTGTTGAGACAAAAAGATAAAGGAGAAATTTGAGAAACAATCACACAAGAGAAGCCTGCAAAATTAATATATTGGATTCAGTTTACTGAACAGATAAGTTTTCAATTTCTCTGCCCTGTTAATTTGTAGTTTCAGGTTTTACAAGAGAAATCTGGTCAGTTATAGAAACAAATTTCAAAATATGCTTTTTATTTATACTTCTTCATATAGTGTGAGAGAATCTGTGACCCCGCTATACAATAAGCATGTTTGGATAACACGTTTCAATAATCTGAACTAATAACAATTGTGAACTACATTCCTCTTAATAAGAAAGAGAACAGCTATTTTAAACAGTCTTATATAAGAGAGAGAGAGAGAAGGATGAAGTATTGAGTTTGCAGCTGGCTAAAGAGTAGAAACCTTTGGCTATTAGGCCTCATTTGTGAAAGGATGTAATCAATTTTTCTGTGGTAGGTCGTCCTACATGCCTGGGTTTGAATTATATTCATGGGTACTACATACCACGCTTTCTTTTTCATGCTTATACAGATTGGCTTGTAAGTTTGCAGAGATGTGATATTATTGATTTGAATTTTCTCTTGACCTAAATAATGAGAGTCTAAATTTATGAGAAGGATTCTGGAAGCTCAGTATTTCTTTTAAGAGTAATGTGGAAAATCATTAGAGAAGATGAATTCCTGCTTTTTTGAATTGCACAAAAATAGACTGTATAAGTTTATGGTGGAAATGTAAGAAATTCAAGCATGAAATGTGTAGTTACCTGTAAATGAATTAGTTACTGTATGATTCTACATTTATGTCCTATTTGATCTGCCTAGAATTTAGATCCCCAAAACTGACATGTTTTATATCTCAGTTTTAGTGCAAAAATACTATAGACAATTTGAATCTGATAAAAATAATAGGTATTTGTCACAAGGGAGATACTACTGGTCATTTTAACTGAAGCTCCCCTAATTTAGGTGCTTTTAAATGGTGAAACCAGGAATTTTTGCTAAGATAGAAGAGCCTTTGGAATAGATATTTTAATTATTTAATTGCTTTATTCCACAGTACTTAGCACTACCTGAGATTATACATAAAATGTATTAATATATTTGTAAATAAACTGGTACGTGAAACATAACACCACACATATTGAAAAATTTTGTCCATTTAATTTCATATGTCCATTTGTGTTTAATTATGCATCGTTTTTTATCGTTAAAACTTTTCCTCTTTTTTGAATAGCTATATTGTCTTGATTTTCTTTCAAGAAAAATTAATGAATAAATTCTACCATTACCCATTAAATAGCCATGCTTTGTCCCTAATTTATTCTTTTGCTTAATCAATATTATTCAACACTATTCCATTTAACATGCTATAAAATGAGGCATAGGAAATCCAAGATTATTAAGACAGAGTCTCCCTTTTTTTTTTAAGATTCTTACAAGTTAACATGAGTATTAACACTTGTACACATAAAACAGTAATTTTGTAGTATTATTTAAAACAAATAGGCTGTAAAAGTATTATATACTTCAAGAGAAAAAGGAATGTTGTTTTTCTTTTGGAGGGTGGGCTAAGCTTATGTGTTTAATGTAAAATAAATAGATCCTCGATAGCCACTGAAGAATCTGTAATTTACTTGATAAATGATGAGCAGGATTTGAAAATCTTATACCAGGGAAGAAATGTGGAACCTAAAGAAGACTGAGGTAAACTTACTTGATAAGTTGAAGTAGAAAAGTGTGGTGAAAAGAAATCAGATTAAAACTCTCTACAGCAGTACCTCAGGACAAGTTGATTAGTGCCTGAACTAGTGTCATGAAGCAGGATAAGGAAAGAAAGTGACAGGATGAAGGAAAGGTAAGAAAGACTTAGGGAAGTATTTGAATCCTGGGGTAAGTAAGAAGAATTGATTGTAACAGTTGGTTTTAGAGACAGAGAGTAGTTTCATTTTAGACCTATTGATTTTCATCTGGATGGAAATTCTCTTCAGAATTAGGTACAATATTAGTTTCCTGTTGATGTTGTAACATATTACTAAAAACTGAGTGTCTTAAAACAACAGAAATTTATTATCATAAAATTCAAGTCAAAACTCAGTCCCAAATCAGTCTCACTGAGCTAAAGTCAAAGTGTTGGCAAAGTTGGTTCCTTCTGGAGGCTCTGAGAAGATAATCTGTTATCATAAACGTTTCCAATATCACTCCAACCTCTTGCTTCTTTTGTCATATCTCCTAATCCTTGGTCTACCCCTTCTACCTGCCTCTTGTAAGGACCCTTTATTTTATATGAGGCCCACGTGGATAATCTTGGGTAATCTTTCCATCTCAATATCATTAACTTAATCACATCTGCAAATTTTATTTTCGCCATGCCAGGTATTACTACGATATTCACAGGTATTAGGACATGGACATTTTGGGGTGGTTCTTTAGGGTACCATCCCTATGGGGTGTTACTTTTGAGGAATGGGAGCTTGACATAAAGATTTGGGAGTAATCAAAGTGGTCTAAGACCTGACATGCTGCACATGAATAAGATCTCCAGATTGAAGGAGTGAAGAAAAGAGAATGGAGAAGAGGGCATTGAAATGCCTGCAGTTGGGAGAAAGAAGATTAGGAACTTAATAATTTGATCAACTTTGCCAGCTACAGAAAGATTAAGGCGAGAGAGCTGTTGCAAGCTTACTTGAATTTAGCAAGAAGAGTTTTATTTCAAAGCACAGTTGTAAGGATGAGACTCAGACTGATGAACACACATTATAAAGTTGAGAGTGTGGATTTTCACATGATCTAGAATTATAATAAATGAAAGCTATTTGATCTGTTGTGTAATCGGGGATAATTTCCCTGAGTCTCAGGTTTATCACACTTAAAATGGTAATAATAATACCTGCCTTGCAGGATTGTTGTGGGAATAAGAAGGTGATAATGATTAACACAGTTAGTACATTGTCATCAAATAGAGATTTGTCACTGCAAAGATTGTCATTAAAGATGTAAAAAAAATTTCATTCACTTTATCAGTCGCAGAAAGGTTATAAATGGCAAGTTGGGAGACAGAAATGTTTCAGCAAATACAGAAAAATTTAACAGAAGAAGTGACACAGGAAGGTATATTATTAAACTAAGTTTAGCAGCAAGTCTGGTGTGGGTTTCTGGTAGGTATTACAGGGCCATCCATTTTTCATAGGAAAATCAGGAAGCTGAGTGTGGCCAAGATTACTCTGGAGAACTTCATAATTAAAGTTCTAATAAACCATTACGCTCCTTCTGGAGAAAGTGAATGCATGGATTTTTTTTACTTTTGTGATTTAAAAAAACAAAACAAACAAAAACTTGGAGCCAGGACACTATTTTTTTTTTCCTAAGAATTTTAAGATCTAGGAAAGCAAGAAGATAAAAAACAATGGGTACGAGGGTCCTGTGGATGATCAGTAGAGATGACAATTTGGACAGACTGGACGTTAGAGGGAAATGAAGAAGGGTGTAAGCCATGAAAGGGACATGCTTATTAAGAATGTATTCTGTATTAAACACTTCGCTAGCTTTAAGAATCTATCATTTAATCCTCAACAAAAATTTTGAATTGGAGAATTATTACTTCCATTTATTGTGAATGTAATTAGAAGGGACTAAGAAACATCCAAAGCCAAGACTAAATAACGGAGCCAACATTTATGCAGTTGCTCAAATTCCACATTTCTACTCAGATTGTTAATCAGGTGCCAGAACTATGTAGAAAATAGGAAATGTGAACAAAATGGAAATTTATCCTTTCTGGCGCATGGGAACATCAAAAGCAACCACAGAAAGGCTAGAGGTATAAAGATACGTTTTTATTACTGAAAGCCAGAAATTATTCAGATATTTTGCCTTTGTACAATGATTTTTAAAATTGCTTAATAGTTATCCAAACTCATTCTAGGAACTCTAGCATCAACAACCTATATTACATTTTAGTTTGGTTAATATTTCAAACTGAATAAAATTTAGTCCTTAAATAATTTATTTAGATTTTTGAAAGACATTATTTGAAAACAAATAAAATCATATAACTGATTTATTGAGTAAAAATAGTGTCCTCCAAGATCTTATCAAAAATTTTACACGGGCAAGCCTCCAATAACAACAGCTTTTCACAGAATAGAAAGACACTCAAGTTACTTTCATTTTCTTTAAGTTCAAGCTCATATTTGTTGCTAAATTAGCTATTATTTTTAAAATTATATAATTTTATTTTGTAATATTATTCTTTCATTTTCTTAGAACTATAGAATTATTTGATGGGGTATTGCAATGTGATTCAGTTATTTCTAAAATAGTTTATAATCTTGAATGTTCCAAACAGGCCATCCCAAATTATACTGTCTTCTACCAGGAAACATTAAAGGGCCTTACATCAGTAGCAGCTTTCAGCCCCCATCCTCTCAGTGTAGAACTCTGTTCACAAAAGTTGCCATTCTTGGTATTATGTAATTTTGCCATCCTATCCACAACTGTATCAGTGAAAAACTGTTGACCCAAAGATTACCATCAATAGATTTATGTGGAAGCAGAGATAGGAAGTAGGTAAGTTGCCAAATTGCCTGAGCACTAATGAGATGTGTTTGATAGCTCAAAAAATATTTCAATATTTGAGACTGATCTACAGCTTCTGACTACATTCAAAATAGCATGTAGTGACTTCTCATTGGCCAGTCTAAGCATATATTAAAAAATTACTACTCTCTTTATAAGCAAGCTTATTTGTGCCAGAGAAACCATACCTATGTTTATATTAGAGCATCACGGAAAGCCTGGTTTTTGCTGAAGCCTTAAAACATTGCTGGGGTCATAATTCAGCATAGTAGATGACAGTTTTTAAGATATCTACTTGTCTTTTCAATAAATAGGAAATACTGGTTTAAAGGGAAAGAAACTTCTATACTTTTGCTGCTGAATTTCTTCAATATTGATTCAGGCTGAAAACCAAGCTGATTTTTTTTTGTGTGTGTAGTATCAAAGGACAGCTTACTTGTGAAAATTATAGGATAGGCATAATATCTTAAACATTCAAAATAGCCAGTGCCAGCTTTTATGAGCTGAATTGCATCCCTTCTCTATCCCAAAAAGGTATATTGGAGTTCTAACACCTAGAATTTCAGAATATCACCTTATTTGGATATAGGTTTTTACAGAGGTAATCAGCTTAAAATGAGGCAATTACAGTAATCTCTAATTCAGAATGAGAATATGACTCATAAAAAGAGGAATTTTGGTCACAAAATGCTGACAGAGGGATGATAATGCAAAAACACAGAGAGAATGCAAGCAAGGCAGCCCCAGACCCTAGGCTTCAGAACATTCCTGGCTTGAAGGGTTCTCGACCCGCCCCTTCCCACGCAGGAACCCGTCTGCCATTAACGCTGTCCATGGAGCCCAGGCCGTTCATGCGAGATGGTGCCAGCAGGCCTGCAGGATGAGCTGCCCTCACCTCCGCTGGTGCCCCTCCCACACTGGTTGGAACTCAAAGTCTAGAGCTGCACCTCCCCCCTGCAGCCAGAGTCCTCACAGCAGCCACTCCAGATGGACTGTCGCTGCCATCATTTCATTCTATAATTATGTCATTCCCCCACTGATAAGTATTCATAGATAATTATTCCTTTTAACACTAATAATATTCAGGTTATTTCTAGTTGTTTTCATAAACAGTTTGATTGAGAAATAACCCACATATTACAAAATTTACCTTTCAAAAGTGTACAATATAATGGCTTTTGGTTTACTTACAGAGTTATAAAGCAATCACAACTATGCAACTGGAGGATTTTCATAAATCTCTCTAAAGTTGTATTACTATTAGAAATAATAATCCATTCTACCCACTTCTGAGTGCCTTGCAATAACAAATCTACATTGTGTCTTTGTGATTTTGCCTATTATTCACATTTCATTATAAACAGAATAATACAAATATTGCCCTGACGACTGGCTTCCTTCAGTTAACAGTGTTTTCAAGGTTCATCCATGTTGCAGTTTGGGTCAGTAATTTATCTTTTTAATTGCCAAGTAATATTTCATTGTGTAAATTTACTACATTTTGTTTATCCATTCATCACTTCATGGACATTTTGGTGTTTCAACATTTAGGCTATTATAATGCTGCTATAAACATTTGTGTGCAAGTTTTTCAGTGACAAATGTTTTCATGTCTCTTGAGTGTATACGAAGCAAAGAAACTTCTGGATTATTTCGTAACTTTATGCATAACACATTATAGAAACTAAAAATGCTGTTTAAGGTGGCTTCATCATTATAAACATCATGAGCAATATATGATTGTTCCAAATTCTTAACATGCTCCGTAACTTTTTTTTTGCTATCTATCTTTGTTATGTTAGCTTTCCAAGTGGTTATGAAGTGGTACCTTATTTTTGTGTTGATTTTATTTCTGTAATGATTAATTATGTTGAGCAAGCTTTCAGGTGCTTATTGGCCATTTGTGCACATCTTTGGAGAAATATCTATTCAGATATTTTGCCATTTTTAATGAATTGTTATTTTACTATTACAACAGTAAGTACACTGGATAGAAATTACTTATTAGATATATGATTTTAAAATGTTTTTATTATTTGAGTTGTTTTCTCATTTTTATGATAGTGTTTTTGAGACAAAAATGTTTTTAGTTTTAACAAAGTCAAATTTATCTATATTTTGGTTGATTGTGATTTTGCTGTCCATTGTTTAAACCCAATTGATTAATTCATAGCCACAAAGATTTACTCCTGTGTTTTCCTCAAAGATTGCTAAAAATTTAGCTCATATTTAGTTCTGTGATCTGTTTTGAGTTCATTTTATATATTTTGGGGGCAGAGATCCATTATTATTCTTTTGCATGTAGATAACTACGTGTCTCAGTATTATGTGTTTAAAAGTCTATTTTTTCCCTATGTAATTATTTGGGACATTTGTTAATAATCAGTTGACCATAAATATTAAAGATGAGTTCTGAAATCTTGATTTCATTCTATTGGTTTATAAGTTTATGGTTATTCCAGCTTCACACATTTTATTACCATACTTTCAGAGTAAGTTTTGAAACAGAGTTTTGAGTTCTACAATTATATTCTTTTTCAAGATTGGCAAGTGTGGTTTTTATAGAAATTTTATCAAACCTGTAGATCATTTGTGAAATATTACCATCTTATGAATATATAGCTTTTCAGTCCATTAACATGAGAGATAGTTTAAATTGTTTTATCTATCTTTAATTTCTTTCAGCCACATAGAATTTTCTATGGAAAAGTCTTGCACAACTTTTGTTCTATTGTTTAATAAGTATTTTATTCTGTTCGATAATAATTGTAAATTGAGTTGTTTTTCTTTATTTCATTTCAACCTGTTAATTCCAGGTGCATAAACTAGCGATGTCTGTGTACGGATCTTATAACCTTCAATCACACTGAGGTTTTTATTATTTCTAAAATATTTTAGAAGATGTCTTAATGTGTTCTTTATACAAGACAGCGACATCTTACAAACAGAAAATTTTGGGCTTCTTCTTTTTCAATCTGGATGTCCTTTATTTCCTGGTCTTGATTCAGTGCTCTGGCTAGAATCTCTAGTACAATGTTGAATAGAAGTGGTGAGGGGAAACACCTTCACCTTTTTCCTGATCTTAGGGGGAAACCATTTCACAATTAATTATGTGTTAGCTGTGGGTTTTCATAAATGTACTTTGTTTGTCTAAGGAATTTGATTTCTATTTCTAATGTGCAAAATATCTTTTTTAATCATGAAATAATGTTAGAATTTGTCAAGTGCTTTTTCTGTGTATTAAAAGTATGATTTCCCTCCTTTATTCTATTAATTAAATGCTGACTTAGCTTAGGCTGCCATAACAAATACCATAGATAGAGTGGCTTAAACAACACCAGTTAATTTTCTCAGAGTTCTGGAAGCTAGAAAGTCCACGAGCAAGGTGCTGGCAAGGTGGATGTCTGGTGAGGGCTCTCTTTGGGGTTTTAGAAGGCCATTTTCTCACTGTGTTTCACACGGTCTTTCCTCAGTATAAGTATATGAAAAGAGAGAGAGCACAAGTGCTCTCTCTCCCTCTTCATGTAAGACCACCAATTCTATTGAATTAGGACCCCCCACACACACTTATGACCTCATTTAACCTTAATTACCCTTTAAAAGCACTATCTCCAAAGACAGTCACATTGAGGATTAAGGCTTCAAAATATGAATTTTGAGGAGGACACAATTCAGTTCATAGCATATGGTATATTGGATTGAGTTTTGAATGTTAAAACAACCTTGCCTTCTTAGAATACAGGTCATTTGACCTTCTTGCATAATTATCTTTAATATGTTGCTGAATTTGGATTTCTGTAATTTTATCAGACATTTTTAGTCTATATTTTTAAGAGACATGTATCTACAGCTTTTTAATTTTTCTTGTGATGTCCTTATCTAATATCAGTCTCAAGTTATTATTGGCCTCACAAAATGACCAGGGAAATATTCCCTCATATTGTATATTCTGGAGTTTGTGAAGGATCATTAATTATTTTTTTTAAATTATACAGAATTCAGCAGTAAAATTGTTGGGGCCTGGACTGATTTTTTTGTGGGGAGATTTTAAATGACTAATTTATTCTCTGTATTTGTGATAGGTCTCCTCTGATACACTATTTCTTCTTGAATCATTTTCAGTAGTTTGTATCTTTCTAAGATTCTGTCCTTTTTATGTTTATTATCTAATTTGTTAACATATATTTATTGAGTAAACTTTTATTTTTAATATTTTGGGGTACATAATACCTATTTATGGGGTACACGAGAAGTTTTGATACGGGTATGCAACGTGAAATAATCACATCATGGAGAATGGGGTATCCATCCCCTCAAGCATTTATCCCTTATGTTACAGACAATCCAATTAGACTTGTTTAGTTATTTTAAAATGTACAATTAAGTTATTATTGACTATAATTGCCCTGTTGTGTTATCAAATAGTAAGTATTCTTTTTCTACCTATTTTTGTACCCATTAACCATCCCTACCTCTCCCTACCCCAGACCCCCACTACCCTTCCCAGCCTTTGATTACCATCCTTCAACTTTGTGTGTGTGTGTGTGTGTGTTTGTGTGTGTCTGTGTGTGTGTGACAGGCTTGCTCTGTGGCCCAGGCTGGGGTGCAGTTGTGCAATCTCTGCTAACCTCAGCTTGCCTGGCCTGATTCGATTTTTATGTTGCTCAAATAAGTGAGAACATCCAATGTCTGTCTCTCTGTGCCTGGCTTATTTCGCTTCACAAAATGATCTCCAGTTCCAGTTCCATCTACCTCGTGGCAAAAGACAGAATATCATTCCTTTCTATGGCTGACTAGCACTCCATTGTGAATAAGCACCACATTCTCTTCATTCTTTCATCTGTTGATGGACACTTAGATTGCTTTCAAACCTTAGCTATTGTGAACAGTGCTGCAACAAACATAGGAGTGCCGATATCTCTTCAATATACTGATTTCCTTTCTTTGGGATATATATCCAGCAGTGGGACTGCTGGATCATGTGATAGCTCAATGTTTAGTTTTCTGAGGAGCATCCAAATCGTTCTCCATAATGGTTGTACTAATTTACCTTCCCCCCAACAGAGTGCAAGGATTCCGTTTTTTCCGCATCCTCACCACCATTTGTTATAGCCTGTCTTTTGGATATGAGCCATTTTAACTGGGGTGAAATGATATCTCATTGTAGTTTTTTCCTGCATTTATCTGATAATTAATGATGTTGAGAACCTTTCTATATGTCTGTTTGCCATTTGTGTGTCTTCTTTTCAGAAATGTCTATTCAAATCTTTTGCCCATCTGTTGATCAGATTATTACATTTTTTCCCATAGGGTTGTTTGAGCACCTTATATATTCTGATTATTTTCTCCCATTCTGTGTGTTGTCTCTTAACTTCGTTGATTGTTTCCTTTGCTGTGCAGAAGCTTTTTAACTTGAGATGGTCCTATTTATCCAGGTTTGCTTTGGTTGCCTGTGCTTGTCGAGTATTGCTCAAGACATTTTTGCCCCCAGAACAATGTCCTGGAGATTTGCCCCAATGTTTTCTTGTAGTAGTTTCACAGTTTAAGGTCTTAGATTAAAGGTTTTAATCCTTTTCTATTGGATTGTTATGTATGGCAAGAAATAGAGGTCTAGTTTTATTCTTCTGCATATGGATATCCAGTTTTTCAAGCACCATTTATTAAAGAGACTGTCTTTCCCCAGTGTATGTTCTTGGCACCTTTGTTGCAGATGAGTTCATGGTAGATGTGTGGATTTTCTTCCATGTTCTCTATTCTGTTCCATTGGCCTATGTGTCTGTTTTTATGCCAGTAACATCCTGTTTTGGTTACTATAGTTCTGTAGTATATTTGAAGTCAGATAAGGTGATTCTTCCAGTTTTGTTCTTTTTACTCAGGATAGCTTTGACTATTCTGGATCTTCTGTAATTACATATAAATTTTAGAATTGTTTTTCTCTTTCTGTGAAGAATGTCATTGGTATTTTGACAGGAATTACAATGACTCTGTAGATTGCTTTGGGTAGAATGGACATTTTAAAAATATTGATTCTTCCAATCTATGAACATGGAATATCTTTGCATTTTTTGGTGTCCTCTTGAATTTATTTTATAAGCATTTTATAGTTTTCATTACAGCACTTTTTCACATCTTTGGTTAAATTAATTTCTTGGTGTTTAATTTTATGTGTGGCTATTGTAAGTGAGATTACTTTTTTGATTTATTTTTTCAGGTCGTTCACTGTTGGCACATAGAAATGCTACTGATTTTTGTATGTTGATTTTGTATCCTACAACTTTACTGAATTTGTTTATAAGTTCTAATCTTTTTTTTTTGTGGAGTCTTTAGGTTTTTCCAAATATAAGATCATATCATCTGCAAACAAGGATAATTTGACTTATTTCTATCCGATTGGTTTATTTGTATATTTATTTATTTATTTATTCAAGATCTGTAGTGGCAACCTCTCTTTCTTTCCTAATTTTAATAATTTGATTCTTTAACATTTTGCTGGTCATTCCTGTTAAAAATTTGCCTTTTTTGGTCGGGTGTGGTGGCTCACATCTGTAATCCCAGCACTTTGGGAGGCCAAGGCGGGTGGATCACCTGAGGTCAGGAGTTCAAGACCAGCCTGACCAAAATGGAGAAACCCCATCTCTACTAAAAACACAAAATTAGCTGGGCATGGTGGCACATGCCTGTGATCCCAGCTACTCAGGAGGCTGAGGCAGGAGAATCTCTTGAACCCGTGAGGCGGAGCTTGAGGTGAGCCAAGATCGCACCATTGCATTCCAGCCCAGGCATCAAGAGCAACCTCTGTTTCAGAAAAAAAAAAAAAAAAAAAAAAATTGCCTTTTTTCAATGAAACAGGTTTTGTGTTTTAAAATTTTCTTTATCTATTTTATTATTTATTTTTGCTCTAAACTTCATTGTTTCCTACATTCAGTTTGCTTTAGGTTTATTTTTTTCTTCTCTTTGTCTACTTAAGGTAGAAATTTGGGTAATTGATTTGATTTTTCTTTTCATTGAAATGTAGGCATTTTTAGCTATATATTTTCCTCTAAGTACTGCTTTTTCTACATGTCATATATTTTATGTGCTCTTTGGTTTTGTTTCTTTGTTTAATTTATTTTAAACTATTTTCTAATTGATCTTATGATTTCTCTCTTGACCTACTGATTATTTAGATGTCTGTTGTCTTATTTGACATATATTAAATATCTTGAATTTCCTTATGCTATTGATTTTACTTAATTTCATTCTGTTTGCAGAACAAATTTTCAATATTTAAATTCCTTTACATTTATTGAGGCTTCATTTTATAATGTAATATATCATCTATCAAAGGGAATGTTTTATGTCTTTGCTGGAGTGTTCTTTAGAAATCTGTTTCATGTGGTTGTTTTACCATGTGCAAGTCTTCTGTTTATCTATTGATATTCTGCCTATTGTTTCACTCATTATTGAAAGTGGCATCATTTGTAGGTTCTAAAATTTCTCCTTTATCTTTTTCGTGGTAACTTGATGGTTGGACAAAAATTTCTTTAAATAATTTGAACCTATAATTATTTAATCCTTTGCTAAGGGGCCCTGTAGGTTTGTGTGTTGTGTGTGTGTATTGATATATTTTTAATAAAATTTCATCTTAGCCTTCACTTCCTGCTTGTACAAGACCTCAAGTTCAGCCAAATTGAAATACTGAGGCATTGTTACATCTTTTGTATCACCAGGAATATGTAAGATATTTATAAAAATCTCTGTGTGCCTCTCATTCTTCAGGTTTTCTTTTAATTTTGAACCATCCTCCCATTGTTTAATGTGATTTTGTCATGCTATATTTTAAATTTTTAAATTTTGGTTATTCAAAAATATACTTTCCCTTATGGTTTCTAGTTTTGGTATCTTGCTTTAAAATCCTAAGCTATGCCAATGTTGAACATATATGAGGCATATTGTCTTCTAGAATGCTAAGGCTATTTATTTTTCTTAATATTTTATATATTTGTGATTTAACTTAGTGTCTGCTGTGAGACATAATTTATTATTTTCTACCCGGTGATATTTGTTACATTGAATAATATTTAATCCTTGCTTTATTAACTGAAATATACAACTTGTAATGAGCCAAATTACTGTATTATTAATGTGTAGTTAATGACCTTATGTTTAAGTCCATTATGTTTATTTGATCTCTACCATCACGTTACTGTATTAACTAATTTATTTCAATATCTAATAGGGCCAGTCTCTCAACATTAATTAACTTTATTATTTTTATTATTTTTCTAAGCTAGTCTCACACATTTACTTTTTAATAGCCTTGAAATTGTTTTTCAAATTTAATCTGCACATATTGTATTAAAACTTATTTAAAATCAGTTTAATTGGGCTGGGCCTGGTGGCTCATGCTTGTAATTTCACCATTTTGGGAGGCCGAGGTGAGCAGATCACATACCAAAACAATTGCAACAACAAATTTAACCAACACAGTGGCACATGTCTTTAATCCCAGCTACTCCTGTGGCCGAGACATGATAATCACTTGAACCCAGGAGGCAGAATTTACAGTGAGTGGAGATCGTGCCACTGCACTCCAGCCTGGGTAACAGAGTGAGACCATGTCTAAAAATAAATAAATAAATAATAAATTAAAAACAGTTTAATTGATAATTTACAGTGATTTTAAAGATTGACTTAATATCCTTTTCTAAATATAATGTATATATATTTATAAATTTTACATACTGCTTCATAACTTTGAGTAAAGTTTTGAAGTTATTTTATTATAGACTATTTATTAATTGATTTATTTTAGGTACTTTATTTTTATTGTTGCAATTTAAAATTTGAATATTTTTTAAATTTATATTTCAAGTATTATATAGTCATTTGGATGAGGTAAATAATTCCACAAGGAGCAACTACAAAAGCTGATTTTGTGGAAAAAAATTATTTATAGATATCAGAGAGTAGAAGCAATCTGTACTACCCAAACACAAAATGTATACAGAGAAATGACATCAGAGAGCTCAGCTAAGGGTCTACAGCTACTTGGGGAATTTAGGAATTTGGGATATAGAAAAAGAGGTTGAGTATTCAGATTTTGCCTGGAAGAAACCTACTGGTGGGGACCAGAAAAGACACCAACCTAAATTGGCTCATAAGTTTGAAGAAGTAAATTTGGTGCCTTGAGGGGTAGAAAAGGGAGGACAGAGAACTGGGCCTGATACACATTGCCAGTTTTTTCCTCAAGCCTTTGTTCTGGATCTTAAAAGTACATGGGACACAAAGCCAAGAAGGAAAGCCACTGAAGGGCAGAGTGTTTTCTGCAGTTTTACTGCACTGAAGAAACAAAAATGAGAGTTCAGGATTAGGGGGAAACACGGTGAATACACAGGTACTGATCTGGATAACATGGAAGACTAAACCAAAGGAGCAGGAATGAGCAGAGGTAGACAAAGCCTAACCAAACTACAGCCGAACCTTAACTCAGCACAGTCCTCACTTCATTAAAGAGATCAATCCTCAGACCACCATCATCCAAGTAGATTGAACTGAATAGATTCTACACACAGATCCACACACACATTCACACACACACGCGCACATATAAATTCACAGATGTATTTTATATATATAATACGTTTAAAAAATTAAATGTCTATAATACATTTAATTCATGACAAGTCTATGCTTCTATATAGAGGAGAAAAAGTAATATTTTCATATGGAGATGCATATTCTAAAAATAATTATTAGCCCCAGCATGTACCATATAAATAAAATCCATATTGACTTTAGAAATAAATATGGAGGTAAACTAAACTAATTCAGTTTTTAGAACAAAATAAAGTATTTTAATATTCTTGGAGTAGGAAAGTATTTTGTAAGTGAAAAATGTGCTAAACAAAGAATAAAAGACAAATCAGATTGTATTAAAATAAGAACTACTGTTTCTCAAATGAATACTGCTAATGGAGTGAGACAACAAGCCACACAGTGAGAGATAATTGCAATATATATCCTGCAAAAAACTTACATTCATAATGTCTAAACTTCTTACAAATCAACAAAAAAAAAACCTCAATGCTTCAATAGAGGGGAAAAAGGCTAGGTGCTAGGGTAGACAGAGTTCATTCAAGTGAATATCTAAGTAGTTAATAAATAGACAAGAGAAAATAATCAAACACATTATTCACAAGGAAAGTAAAAATTAAAGTCATGCTGAGATACCTCTATGGTTCGAGTATTTGTCTCCTCCAAACCTCTTGATAAGATGTTATCCCCAGTGTTGGAGAAGGGACCTAATCGGAGATGTTTGGGCCATGGGGGCAGACATCTCATGAATAGACTAATGCTTTTCCTAGGGTGTGAGTCAGTTCTTGTTCTATTAGTTCCCAGGAGAGCTGGTTGTTAAAAGATCCTGGTACCACCCATGCTCCATCTTGCTTCCTCTCTTGCCATGTAATCTCTAAACACTCTGGCTCCCTTTTACCTTCCATCACGAATGGAAGAAGTCTGAGGCCCCCAACAAATGCAGGTGCAATCCTGTGACTTGAACTTTTCCTGCCATCAGAACTGTGAACCAAGTAAACCTTTTATATATAAAAAAATAATTAGCCACCCTCAGATATTTCTTTATAACAACATAGAACAAACTAAGATGGATACCAATACACATCCAACAGAATGGCTAATATAAAAAAGTAGAAAATAGCTAATGCTGTCTATGACATTGAAGAAGTTTGAGCTACAATGTGCTTTTCATACAACCACTTTGGAAAATTGTTTGACATATTTCTAAAATCAAATATACCTCATGACCTAAATATTGCACTACAAGTAAATACATTATCTATAGAAATGGGTATATATGTTATATATGATTTTACTTTCTTCAAAAAAAATGAGTATTCATTCATAGTAGGACTAATTCCTAATACCTAAAAACTTTGAACTTTTAAAAAAGACAGTAGCATGGATATAGAAGATGTGGTACATTTGTCCAATAAAATATTTTCATGACCATACTTAATAATAATGTAGTGTATATTTTAAAACTGCCAGAAAGGAAAAGTTCGAATGCCTCAACACAAATCATGATGGACAAGTGAGGTGATTGATAGATATGTTATTTAGCTTAATTTAATCATTCCACATTGTATACATATATTAAAACATCACGTTTTACCTCATGAACATATACAAGTTATGATTTTTCAATTAAAATAATATTAATTTTTTTAAAAAATAAAATTTCAAAAAGATGCAACTCAGAAATTAAAATAAATGAACTACAAATCCACAGAGAAATATGGATGAATCTCACAAACATATGGCTGAGCAAAAAGAGCCAGACACTGAACAATGCACTCTGTGTAAATATTAGAGTTTGACAGGTTTCAAGAGTCACACTAGCAATTACGTCTTCATCAAGGTGCTGGAAACTGGATTGTGACTACTCTACAAGAATTAATTGAGCTTAACACTTTTGATTTGTTAACTTCATGTATGTATACAAAATTTATATATACATATAGCTTTCTTTGGAAGATATTGCATTCACTCTCTCTTGCTCATTTAATTTCTCTAAGTGCCTTCTTGTACTGTCCTTTAAAATAGAAACTCTCCAAAGGCATGATACTTGATTTTTTCC